>NC_000024.10:3339127-3639537 GCF_000001405.40 Homo sapiens
AAGAGGGACTCCTCCCTAACTCATTTTATGAGGCCAACATCATCCTAATAAAAAAACCTGGCTGAGACAAAACAAAAGAAAATTTCAGGCCAATATCCCTGATGAACATCAACGTGAAAATCCTCATTAAAATCCTGCAAACCAAATCCAGCAGCACATCAACAAGCTTATCCACTGTGATCAAGTTGGCTTCATCTCTGGGATGCAAGGCTGGTTCAACATATGCAAATCAATAAGTGTAATCCATCACATAAACAGAACCACATGATTATCTCAATACATGCAGAAATGTATGTATTTCTGCATGTATTGACATGCAGAAAATGACAAAAACCACATGATTATCTAAATACATGCAGAAAAGGCCGTCAATACAATTCAACACCCCTTCATGCTAAAAATCCTCAATAAACTAGGTATTGATGGAACGTATCTCAAAATAATAAGAGGTATTTATGACAAACCCACAACAAATATCATACTGAATGGGCAAACTGGAAGCATTCCCTTTGAAAACTGGCACAAGACAAGGATGCCCTCTCTCACCACTCCTATTTAACATAGTATTGGAAGTTCTGGCCAGGGCAATCAGGCAAGAGAAAGAAATAAAGGGTATTCAAATAGGAAGAGAGGAAGTGAAATTTGCCTCAGTTTGCAGATGACATGATTGTATATTTAGAAAACCCCATCGCCTCAACTTTGCTGAAGTGGCTTATCAGGTTAAGCCACTTCAGCAAAGTCTCATATACAAAATCAGTGTGCAGAAATCACAAGCATTCCTATACACCAATAATAGACAGAGAGCCAAATCATGAGTGAACTCCCATTCACAATTGCTACAAAGAGAATAAAATACCTAGAAATACAACTTACAAGGGATGTGAAGGACCTCTTAAAGCAGAACTACAAACCACTGTTCAAGGAAATAAGAGAGAACACAAACAAATGGAAAAACATTCCATGCTCATGGGTAGGAAGAATCAATATTGTGAAAATGGCCATACTGCCCAAATTAATTTATAGATTCAATGCTATCCTCATCAAGCTACCCTTGACTTTCTTCACAGAATTGGAAAAAACTACCTTACATTTTATATGGAACCAAAAAGGAGCCCAATTGCCAAGACTATCCTAAGCAAAAGGAGCAAAGCTGGAGGCATCATGCTACCTGACTTCAAACTATGCAACAAGGCTGCAGTAACCAAAACAACATGGTACTGCTACCATAACAGATATATAGACCAATGGAACAGAACAGAGGCCTTGAAATAACCCCACACATCTACAACCATCTGATCTTTGACAAACCTGACAAAAGTAATGGGGAAAGGATTCCCTATTTAATAAATGATGTTGGGAAAACTGGCTAGACATATGCAGAAAACTAAAACTGGACCCATTCCTTACACCTTACAGAAATTAACTCAAGATGGATTAAAGACTTAAATGTAAGACCTAAAACTATAAAAACCCTAGAAGAAAACCTAGGCAATACCATTCAGCACATAGGCATGGCCAAGACTTCATAGCTAAAACACCAAAAGCAATGGCAGCAAAAGCCAAAGTTGACAAATGAGATCTAATTAAACTAAAGAGCTTCTGCACAGTAAAAGAAACTATTATCAGAGTGAGCAGGCAACGTACAGAATGGGAGAACATTTTTGCAATCTATCCATCTGAAAAAGGGCTAATATCCAGAATCTACAAATAACTTAAACAAATTTAAAGGAAAAAAAATCAAAAAGTGGGCAAAGGATATGAACAGACACTTCTCAAAAGAAGACATTTATGCAGCTAACAAACATATGTAAAAAAGCTCATCATCACTGATCATTAGAGAAATGCAAGTCAAAACCACAATAAGATACCATCTCACACCAGTTAGAATAGCGATCATTAAAAAGTCAGGAAACAACAGATGGTGGAGAGGATGTGGAGAAATAGGAATACTTTTACACTGTTGGTGGGAGTGTAAATTAGTTCAACCATTGTGGAATACAGTGTGGTGATTCCTCAAGGATCTAGAACCAGAAATACTATTTGACCCAGTATTCCCATTACTGGGTATATACCCAAAGGATTATAAATCATTCTACTATAAAGACACATGCACACATGTGTTTATTGCAGCACTCTTCACAATAGCAAAGACTTGGAACCAACCCAAATGCCCATCAGTGCTAGACTGGATAAAGAAAATGTGGCACAGGTACACCATGGAATACTATGCAGCCACAAAAAAAGGATGAGTTCATGTCATTTGCAGGGACATGGATGGAGCTGGAAACCATGATTCTCAGCAAACTAACACAAGAACAGAAAACCAAACACCGCATGTTCTCACTCATAGGTTGGAGTTGAACAATGAGAACACATGGACACAGGGAGGGGAATATCACATACCAGGGCATGTTGGGGGGTTGGGGCTAGGGGAGGGATAGCATTAGGAGAAACACCTAATGTAGATGACGAGTTGGTGGGTGTAACAAATCCCCATGGCACATGTATACCTATGTAACAAACCTGCACATTCTGCACATGTATCTGAAAACTTAAAGTATAATAAAAAAAGAGAACAAAAAAATCTTTTCAATATTATTGTGCATTAATTTATTCATATGTGAATATATTCACTTCCTAAATATTTATTATTCATGTAACATAGGTTGGAATTTATATAAAATCTTGTGAATATAGAATGTATCAACTCTCTAAATATCTTCTTTTACAGGATTGATGCAAATCTCATTTCCTTCAATAAATTACTGATTGACTTTATAAGAATTAATCTCCTTCTCACTAATGTCCCCTCATGTTTGTATAAATTTTTATTTTGGTATATGGAATGGGCAAGGGGTGTTTCAACATTTATACTTCCTTTATCATCTATCAAAGTTATTTGTTCTGCTAGGTATTTAATAAGTATACTTATTAAACAATATTAAGAAATCAAAGAAAAACCTTAGAACTGCACTAAAGTTGAGGGAATCTTATGTGTCATGTTGCAGACTACATTTCCAGATAGCTCAGTACTCCTCAAAGGTATGTACTTTATAAAGTGTTTACCTTATTCAGACATTTTTATTACCCCTTAATGGTGGCCTTTTAATCTCAGGATATAAACATGGCTGCTTATTAGTTGAAATAGTAACTTCCTTACCATAACATATTATTTGGATTTAAATTAGATAGCTTATTATTGAGAACAAATGCAACTTTCACTAATATAATTACTTTTGAAATTTTTATGAATGAATAACTATATAACTGGTTATCAACCTTGACTTCAAATAAGAATCGTTTAGAACAGCTTTTATTTAAAAAATAAAATACCTAAGCCCTATCAAAAGTATAAACCCATCTTACTATTGTCAGAACATTTATTTGAGGCACAGTGAGCGAAATGTAATGGGTAAAAATAGAACATATAATGAATATTGTTTTTGCCTACCCCAAATTCCCTTTCCCCTTCATGTGGTGGTAGCATCTGTTTTTGTTTGTTTGTTTTTGTTTTTGTTTTTGAGGAACTGTCTTAATACACATTGTTGTGATTGAGTTACTCCTCCTTTCTTTATTCCTGTAAGCCCTAGGCATGATCCAGGAACACTGCTGTGGCCAGACATAGCACTATATTTTTTCATTTATAGTGATTGATTGAGAAATGTGCACAGAAACTAAGCATAATCAATCAGAGTCTCTTCTCTGAGACTTTTTTTTTTTGTTATAGCACATTGAAATAATACAGTCTTTAGTTTCAGGGACTGATCGACTATAGTAGAATCCAAATGTTGGGGGAAAGTCTAAAAAAAGAGTAGAAATTTAAAAATAGAGAAAAAATAGTAGAAAAAAATTCCAACATATAGGGAGAATTTTCCTGAAAATAATGTCAACACAGAGGAGAGGAAAACCAAGAAATAGACAAAAGGAGATTAC
The DNA here is from genome assembly GCF_000001405.40 of Homo sapiens. Lineage (NCBI taxonomy): Eukaryota > Metazoa > Chordata > Mammalia > Primates > Hominidae > Homo > Homo sapiens. The sequence continues at coordinate 3,343,061 of NC_000024.10, forward strand.
TATCAACTACATGCGATCTCTTGGGTCCAGTCATTCATGAAGGCAGACACAGTGTGTGCAAGATATCCTCAATTTTTCCCTTTAGATGCCTACCCATCCCTTTTTCACTCTATTTCATGCCTTAGTAGAATGACCCGTATGCACTACATTGAAGTGTTTCCTTGCTTTCTGACTTCCTTTGAGTTTGGCTATTAGGATCCACAACAAGAAATTGAAAGGCAGGATGAAATTGAGGTCATTCCTCCCAATTCATTAACTGCTAGGTTGCTATCTGTACATTCACTTCATCCTTCTACAAAAGACCACAATTTATGTCAAAAGATCCCCCCACACGTACCCACAATATCTCCCAGTAACTAGCCACTCCTAGTGGTAATAATTGCTTCCTGATGTTGTTATCTTGTATTACATTGTACTATATCCCTGCTCTTATTTCTGTAAATAGGTTCTTTATGAAGCTGCTCTAGAATTAAAAACAATACCAAAAAAAAAAAAACAGTATTTTTTTGGAAAATACTTTAGAGCTTTAGTCCAATATAGTAATAGTAAGCCTTAATTGTAGTGACATTGCTACAGAAAGATATCCTATTAACTGCTAAGCCATTTTTCTGATTATTTCTTGAGCTGTCTTATAGAAAGTAAGATAATGTATGTTAATAGTCAAAGAAAAAGGGATGACATTCACCAAGAAAAACAAATGAATTATCAGTATTCATATGTATTACTCCAATGTTTTGTTCCATGTTTGAATAAGAAAGAACAAAACTGGCTAAATGTGGGTAGTCATTGATAGATACAATAAGAGTCCTACATTCCCAGTAATTCTTGGCATGATTTAAATCAGGGTCAATAGCGTGATATCTCTTACACTGACTTTCTTGACCCCAAAAAAATTGACTAGTAATTTGGGAAGGAGTCCTGCAAATAATGACCAATGCTCCAAGAAATGTATGTGTGATAGCAGAAGCACTTTTCCTTCAGTGTGACTAGGCTTGCCATTTAAATCAAATCTATTTTCATAAAATTGTGTAACTTCATATGTTTCGGCTAATATGGTAAGAATAAACTGCTGTTTGCTTGTCAATGAGAAGAGAAAGAGGATTTATTAACCAGCTACTTTGAAAATCTAAGACTAAGGAATTGACTGTGCTGTAGTTTAAACATTATCTCTCATATTTTATAAACCAATATAAAATTTTCTTTACTTGATTGCTTATGTATAGAAAGGGTTCTCAAAATTTCTTATTGTGTTGGTATCAAAATTAAGACAATTATGAGATTGTTTTGAGACATTAATTAGAAATATTTCTTTTAAAATTTTACATATGAATCCAAAGTTTTGGGAGGTGTTTAGATATCTGCATATAAAAATAACTATTTAGGGACTCACATTATTTATATTTGTGTGTGTTGAAGTCACTGTCACTCCTCTTCTCCAAACTTTTGTATACATTTCAATTCCAAAACTCTGTTTATGATCAACATATTGTGCAAAGATTAACAACTAATGGGTCAAATATCATTTGCACTTTTCTCGTTGCATTGAAAATAAAATGTCCATCCCACCTCCACCGTTTATTTTCCCATGTCTGGACAATTTTAAAGCAAATTCAAGGCTATGATGGTACATATAATTTCAACCACAAATTTTCAGTATATTTCTAATATATAAAGATTTTTATAAACAAAGCCATATAATATGCTCCACATTAATAATAATTTTTCAGACCTCAATAATGTTCAATTTCCTCTATTATTACAAATCATTTTATTGCTGTTGTTTTCTTCTAATCAGGATCTGAGTGAGTTCCACACATTGCAAACAAATTTGTTACTTATCAAATTGTCTTAAAGAAAACCACAGTCTTTAAAGAATGCTATAAACAAAGTGTTTGATTTTTAGACTTCACAACATAATTTTTGGCTGCTCAAAGACTGATTTCATGTTGTTTTGTTTGTTGTGCTTATTTCTTGTTTTTGAATTTTCATTTTTTGTTCCAGTTAGGTAGTTTTGCCAAGTAGCTGTGTTCTAAATCACTGAACAATCACTTTAACTCAATAAAAAATATTCTACACATTTGAAGAGAAAAGTTTATTTGGGATATATATATTTATACATCTGTGGGAGGGTTATGTGTAAAATTTTAGAAAATTTTAACTGTTTTCTCTTTTCTCAACATGACTGAAAGTCCTGTTAAGTGAAAAAATTCAAATATTTTCAGAATAACTAAAATTACAGTAGCTCACAAACAGTATTTAATAAATAATTGTAGCGTAGGCTTCTGATGCATGAATTTTTAGTCTTCTATAAAAATCACAACAATCTTATGTATCTCAAAAGATTAAAATCAAGTTCTTTCAGCAAGATGGTATAAAACACACATTTGCATGGAAGAGGGAATGGAAAAGTCTATCCTACAGAAAAAGGGTAGTACTTATTACGGACACTATATTTGTGTCCCTTCAAATGTATATGTTGAACTTTTAATCCCCAATGTGATGGTATTAGAAGGTAGAGCCTTTGGGAGGTAATTAGGTCATAATTGTGAAGCCTTAATAAATGAAATTAGTACCCTTATAAGAAGAAATATGAGAGATATGATTTTCCTTTTGGCCATGTGAGGGTATAAGAAGACAGCCATCTGCAAATCAGGAAGAGTGCTATCACCAGATACCAGATATGCCAACATCATGATCTTGAACTTCTTCATTTTCAGACTCACGAGAAATAAACGTCTGTTGTTTAAACTACCCATTCTATAGTATTCTGTTACAGCAATCTGAACTGACTGAGGTTGTACTTATCCTAGACTTCTCTCTCTATGGATTCTTAGAGCCCATAGAATGACTCCACTCATTCATAAAACTGTAAACTATGATATGTTGTTGAACCTGAAGTCTAGATAAGTAAGGCCTGAGTAAATGAGAATGAATTGTGTAGAATAATATAGCTTGAGGACTTTACCTTGTGTTGCAATTTGAAAAAAAATTTTATGTAGATAATTATTGGCATGAAGCTGAATTTGAAAGCAGGCAACTAAAAGGAGGACTGCAATGTTGGAAAAAAACACACCTCAACTTGAGATATATGCTCTTTTTTATGATGATGACTTTGACTTTGTGACTCTTTTCTACAGTAGAAACATTTCCTTAGAAGTAATTTAAATGAATACAGCATCCCAAGTAAAGGCTATATAGAAGAGAATGTATAAAGAGAAACAATGAAAGAAAAATCTTATAAAAAGCAAGTTTTTTCTAATAAACACTGAATACTTACTATGTCCACAGTCTCTGTTTAATAAAATAAGTGTTTGGAAACTAAAAAAATATATATTAGTATATGAAGATTATGTATGTAGACATTAATAATGCAACAGGTCTTCCAAATGCAGGAAAAGTAATAAAACAATTTTTACGGGGAAGAAAAGACAATACATACTTTGCAAACTACTTATGCAAATCTGAATAATGCCTTGTACACACACAAACCTACAAAAATGATAGATATTAATTCCACATGATGAGGAGATGAATATTGAATAGTTTAATGTACACTGTTGTTTGTTATAATAAATATGAGAGAAAATATATGATGAAATTTAGCTTTTCCACTACATACAAGATGAAGATACTCAAGAAAACATTGGTCACTATCATTTTAATGGTGATACAAATGTATTTTTCAACCAACTGCTTGTTTTTACCTCAATGTTTATCTTCAGGAAGAGCTACAGGTTTTATTTCTGACCTGCAGCACAATTATAATTGAAATCGGTCTCAAACTGCACTTTTGTCCAATTATCTGATATTGTGTTTGTGTGTTGGTGAGTGTTGTGTATTTTTGTGTTTATTTCTAAACACTTCTACTTCATCTATATACGTTAGCAAACCGATTAGTAAACTACATCTCCTTGGTACCCTAATGACACATTAGAAAATTCTCTGAAAAAAGTAAAGTATAAAAAATAAGATAGTTCCTAGTTTTAACAAATTGGACTGTAATATGTCTTACAATAATAAAAATATTTTAGAATCTATATCTACTGAATACTTACTATATCCTAGAGACCAGCCTAATTATTCAAAGCCATCCACAAAATAATTACTCTGAAGTAGTAAATATTATCATGTTTTAGAAATGAAGGAACTTAGACTTAAAATGATTAGTTTTCCTAAGTTTACAAGTTATTAACTGATGGAACTGAGAATCAAACCTAGTAAAGCTGGTTTTGAGATATTTAGTCTCTCAAAAGTCTCCTTTTATATGACAGAAAGATATTTAAAGAAATTAATAAAAATCTAATAGTTGTTAGGAACCAGAAGGAATATCCTCAGCAAATCAAATTTTTGGGGTTCTTAAAAGTTACAAGGAAGATAGCACTAAATTGATTTAATCAACAAATATTAGAGGTAATAGTGGTCATTTTCAAATAAACCCCAAAGAAGCTGCATGCTCAGTATAAACAAATAGAAGATTGACACTTGGAAATGGAGTAATAATCAAAATAATTAATTAAAAATCTGTTTAGAACAGCTGACCCCTCTGGGTTTATCTCCTCTCCCCGTGTGGCCAACAGCCATGGCTTTGGTATGCAAATAAGCAGCCAAAAAATGCTTCCTATAAAAACTGGATGATGCTTCTGGGAAAGGATTCTAGTGTGAATGTTTGGGCATGTAAAGAAAGAAGTTTGACAGTGAGGTAAACGCCTAATTCCAGAACTCCACAAACATTACTAAGGGAAAACAAAGAGGTATTGTCTGCTCAGCTTAAGAGGAAAATATGTTGACTCTCCCCTACACTTTGATGCTTTCTGTGGTTCATTTTGGTTTGAAATAAGGTGCAGAGAGAGCAATTAAATAACCAGGTTTGCTCAATTGTAAATAGCCCAATTAATTTTTGTAATTATACTTTTATAATAATCATCAAAGGAATGAACTTGACTATTTCTTAGAGCCTCCCACAATTAGAATAGGTTAAATAATATGGATTAATGAGCACCATTTCTTTTTTGCATTGCTGTGATTATGCCAATAGGTAAAATACAGATATGAGTCCCAAGAGCTTCTTAAACTCCCAAGTTCTCTTCAAGTTCTTTAACTTACCACTCATATTCAGTTCTCTGTTCAAAGCCCACCTGAATGTTACCCATCCCTTACCACCCAATGTAAAACTAACAAGCTCAAATCTAGGCTATACCTGGATTATGTATTAATAATACATTCTTCATTTCCATGCAGTATATTTATTTATAATATTATTAGTATAAGGAGGGGGTCTCATTTTCAACAAAGAGAAATCACATTCATACCGTCAATTTTTTATCAAGACCTTATTTAAATTCTATCTGTCATGGGTTCATTGCACTTAATATGATCAAAATCACAGAGATGTAGACTATTTGGAGCTTTTTTATAGTCATTTACTTGTATTATCCTCATATATTTCACATTTACTCCCTTGTTCATCTCATGTAGTACTGTGGCTTAAATTGTCATGTATATGGTAATGACTTCAGCTGTCCACCTAAATCTATTCTAGCTGTCCACCAGAATCTATTATCTCCTTTCATAATAATAGAATTGCTGCTGGACATTTGACTGTCCAGCTGTTCTTGCAGTAAAATTGTGCCACCATTTGCTGCATGAGGTCATATCACATAAGTTATTCATCTTTGGCCATGAAGTTACCAGTGCTGAAGATGATATAAGGAAGCTGAGTTCCTTAAAGACTTTGAAAAGAAGAGCTGACTGCCAAACATACCTATGCTAAAAATTCTCCATTATATCCCAATCTTGGGGTAAAAACCAAAGTCATTTTAATAATGTATACAGTAATACACGTTTACACATCAGCAGGACTCACTCTTTCGGTTTTCTTAGGTGCTGATTCAGATGTTACTTTCTGGTCCAGGCTTCTTCTGGCTATTATATTAAAATTATGCCCATTTTGTAATTCTTACACTTTGCCCCATCTTTAGTATTTTTTCATACTTTTTCTTATATGAAATTTTCAATATGTTACTTGTTTTTGTTTCTCCTAACTTTTAAGAATGCAAGTACTAAGCTGTCATATATATTTTAAAATATAGAAAATAATTAAGCATACGTTTTAATTCTGTGGGTTAAGAATTAAAGCGGGAATCAGCTGGGTGGTATTTGTTCCCATAATATTGGCTGGGGTTATTCATGTAGTGGTACTCGGTTAGGAACTCTGCCGTAGCTAAGAAGTTCAGGGTAGCCTTGAACTACAGAGTTTCTCTCATTATGCTTCTCATCATTCAGTAATCTATCCTGGGCATTCCTTTTTTTCATTTTTATTTTAGATACGTAGGGTATATTTTATTTGAGATACAGGGGGTATTTTATCACATGGGTATAATGCACTCAGGAGGTGAGCATAGTTCACAACAGGTAGTTTTTTGAACCTTGCTTCCCTCCCTCCCTCACCTCTCTAGCAGTCTACACAGTGTCCATTGTTTCCATGTTTATGTTCATGGGTGCTCAATGTTTAGCTCCCATTATAAATGAGAAGACATGGTATTTGGTCTTTTGTTCCTGCATTAATTTGCTTAGGATTATGGCCTCTAGTTCCATCCACATTGCTGCAAAGGACATAATTTTATTATATATTATGGCTGCATAGTATTCCATGGGGTATATGTACTACATTTTCTTTATTCAATCTACCATTGATGGGCACATGGGTTGATTCCCTGTCTTCGCAATTGTGAATAGCACAGTGATGAACTTACGAGTGTATGTGCCTTTTTGGTAAAATCACTTATTTTTTGGGGGTGGGTATATACCCAGTAAAGGGATTACTGGGTTGAATGGTAGCTCTGTTTTAAGTTATTTGAGAAATCCCCAAACTACTTTCCACAGTGGCTGAACTAATTTACATTCCCATAAGCAGTGCATATGTGTTCCTTTTTCTCTACAACCTTGCCAACATTTGTTAGTTTACTTTTAATAATAGCCATTTTGACTGGTGTGAGATAGTATCTCATTGTGGATTTGATTTGTGATTAGTGACTGATGATTAGTGATGTCGAGCAAATATTTTTCATGTTTGTTGGCTGCTTTTCTCTCTTTTGAGAAGTGTTTGCTCGTTTACTTTGACCATTTTTAATTGGGTTATTTGGTTTTTGCTTGTTGAATTAAGTTCCTTATAGATTCTGAATATCAGACCTTTGTCTCATACATAGTTTGCAAGTATTTTCTCCCATTTGGTAGATTGTCTGTTTGCTCTCTTGATAGTTTCTTTTGCTGTCCAGAAGCTTTTTTTAGTTTAATTAGGTCCAGTTTGTCTATATTTTTGGGTGGGGGTATAATTGCTGTTGGGGACTTAGCCAAAAATTATTTGCCAAGGCAGATGCTGAGAAGGGTATTTTTTACATGTCTTCTAAGATTTTTATACTCTGAAGTCTTACATTTAAATATTAGATTTTGCCGAGCATGGTGGCTCACACCTGTGATCCTAGCCCTTTGGGAGGTCGAGACAGGCAGATCATTTGAGCCCAGAAGTTTGAGACCAGCCTGGCAATATGTACAAAATAATACAAAAATGAGCCGGGCATGGTAATGTATACCTGTGGTCCCAGCAACTCTGGTGACTGAGGTAGGAGGATCACCTGAGTCCAGTTGGTTGAGGCTGTAGTAAGCCACGATTGTACCACTGCACACCAGTCTGGCGACAGAGTGACATCCTCTCTTAAAAAAAAAAAATTAAATGTATCTTGAGTTAATTTTTGTACACAGTGAAATGCAATGGTCTAGTTTCATTCTTCCGCATATGGCCAGCCAGTTATCCCAGCACCATTTATTGAATAGGGAATCCTTTCTCCATTGCTTGCTATTGATGGCCTTGTCAAAGATCATATGGTTGTAAGTGTGCAGCCTTATTTCTGAGTTTTCTATTCAGTTCCATTGGTCTATGTGTCTGTTTTTGTACCAGTAACATGCTGTTTGGTTGTTATAGACTTACAGCATAGTTTGAATTCAGGTAGTGTGATTCCTTCAGCTTTAGTCTTTAAGCTTAGGATTGGTTTGGATTTGGGGGAATTTTTGATTCCATATAAATTTTAGAATGGTTTTTTTGTTTGTTTTGTTTGTTTTTGCTAATTCTAGAAAAATGGTGTTAGTTGTTGGATAGGAGTAGTGTTAAATCTGTAAATTGTTTTGGGCAGAATGGCCATATTACTATTGATTCTTTTAACCTATGAGCATGGAATATTTTTCCAATTATTTATGTCATCTCTGATGTCTTTAAGCAGTGTTTTTAGTTCTCCTCGAAGAGCTCTTTCATCTCCTTATTTAGCTGTATTCTAAGGTATTTAATTTTCTTTGTGGATATGTAAATGGGATTTTTTTCTTGATTTGACTCCCGGCCAGGGCATTATTGTAGTATAGAAATGCTACTAATTTTTGTGCTTTCATTTTATATACTGAAATTTTGCTAAACTCATTTATCAGTTCTAGTAGTCATTTGATAGTGTCTTTAGGGTTTTCTACATATAAAATGATATTGTCAGCAAAAGAGATACTTTGATTTTTCTTTTCCTATTTGGATGCCTTTTATTTCTTTATCTTTCCTGATCGACCTGGCTAGAAATTACAGTACTATGTTGAATAGTAGTGGTGAGAGTGGGCATCCCTGTCTTGTTACAGTTCTAAAAAGGAATAGTTCCAGCTTTTGCCCATTCAGTATGATATTGGCTGTAGGTTTGTCAAAGGTGGATTATTTTAAGGTATATTAGGTATATTCCTCCATTGCCTACAATGCTGAGGGTTTTATCATGAAACAAAGTTGGATTTTATCAGCCTGGCGTGGTGGCTCACGCCTGTAATCCCAACACTTTGGGAGGCCAAGGCGGGCGGATCAGGAGGTCAGGAGTTCAAGACCAGCCTGGCCAACATGGTGAAACTCCGTCTCTACTAAAAATACAAAAATTAGCTGGGTGCGGTGGCGCCTGCCACCTGTACTGCTGGATTTGGTTTGCTAATATTTTGTTGAGGATTTTGCATTTATGATAATCAGGGATATTGGCCTGAAGTTTTCTTTCTTTGTCGGGTCTCTGTCAGATTTTGGTATTAGGCTGATGCTGGCTTCATAGAATGAGTTATGGAGGAGTCCCTTCTGTTTTATTTTTTTGTAATAGTTTGAGCAGTGTTGATACCAGTTCTTTATATGTCCAGTAAAATTTGGCTGTCAATCCATCTGCTTAGGAATTTTTTCACTTGGTTTTTTTTATTATTACTGATTCAATTTCAGAGCAAAATATTGGTCAGTTCAGTGTTTCAGTCCTCCTTGTTCAATTTTGGGAGATTGTATGTTTCCAGGAATTTGTCAATTTCCTCTAGATTTTCTAATTTTTGTGCATAGAGTTGTTGATAGTATTCTTTGTGGATCTTTTGTATTTCTGTGTGATCAATTATAATGTCATCTTTGTCATTTTTGATTGTAATTATATGGATTTTTCTTAGTGGTCTACCAATCTTGTTTTTTTTTTTTTTCAAAGAACAAGATTTTCATATCCTTGATCTTTTTATAAATTTTTGCATCTCAATTTCATTAAGTTCTCTAATTTTAGTTATTTCTTTTCTTCTGCTAGTTTTCGCAGGTTTTCTTTGCCCTGCTAGTTCGTTTTGGTACAAAGATTGTTAGTTTCAGCTCTTTCTAACTTTTTGATGAGGGCATTTGGGGCTATAAACTTCCCTCTTAATACTGCTTTAGTTGCATCCTAGAGGTATTGCTAAGTTGTGTCCCTATTTTCATTAATTTCAAAAAATGTTTTATTTCTGCCTTAATATTGATGTTCACCCAGGAGTTATTCAGAAACAAGTTATTTAATTTCCATGTATTTGCATAGTTTTTAGAGATCTTGATATTGATTTCTATTTTTATTGCTCTGTTGTCTGAGAGTATGCTTGGTATGATTTTAATTTTTTTGAATTTATTGAATCTTGTATTATGACCAAGTATGTGGTCAATCTTAGAATATGTTCCATGCACAGATACGAAAAATGTATATTCTGTGGTTGGTTGTTGGAGTGTTCTGTAGATGTCTATTGGCTCCAATTGGTCAAGTGTCAATTGTAAATCCAGAGTTTCTTAGTTTTCTGCCTTGATAATGTGTCTAACACTGTCAGTGGGGCGTTGAAGTCTCCCACTGTCATTGTGTGACGTTTAAATCTCTTTGTAGATCTCTACGAACTTGTTTTCTGAATCTCATTGCTGTGACATTGGGTGCTTACATATTTAGAATAATTAAGTCTTCTTGTGGAATTTTACTCTTTATCATTATTTAATGTCTTTCATTGCCCTTAATTTTTATTGGTTTAAGGTCTGTTTTATTTGATATAAATACAGTGGTGACTCCTACGCTGATTTGTTTTCCATTTGCATGGTAGATCTTAATCCCTTTACTTTGAGCCTTTGGGTATTGTTACATGTGAGACTGGTCTCTTGAAGATAACAGATGGTTGGTCTTGCTTTTTATCTAGCTTGGCACTCTATGTCTTTTAAGAGTGGTATTTAGGCTATTTACATTGAAAGTTAATATTGTTGTGTGTAACTTTGAACCTCTCATCATGTTGTTAGCTGGTTGTTATGCAGATTTTATTGTGTAACAGCTTTATAGTGCCTATGGGCTATGTAGCTGTGTGTTTTTATGGTAGCAGGTATCATTTTTTTGGTTCTATGTTTAACACTCCCTTAAGGGCCTCTTGTAATGCTGGTCTAGTAGAAACACATTTCTTCAGCACTTGTTTTCTGAGGATTTTATTTCTCCTTCACTTATGCAGCTTAGTTTGGCAGAATATGAAATTCTTGGTTGGAATTTCTTTTCTTTAAGGATGCTGGAAAAAAGGCCGCACTCTCTTCTGGCTTGCAACGTTTTTGCTGAGAGTTCTGCTGCCAGCCTGATGGGGTCTCCTCTGTGTGTGACTTGACCCTTCTCTCTAGCTGCCTTCAAGATTTTTTCTTTTGCTTTGACCATGCTGAATATGATGAATATATGCCTTGAGGATAGTGATTTTTTTTTATAGTATCTAGCCAGGGTTCTCTATTTCTTGGATTTGTGTCAACCTTCCTAGCAAGATTAGGGAAATTTTCATGGACTATATCCTCAGATATATTTTTCAAGTTGTTTATTCTCTTTTTTCTCTCTCAAGAAGGCCAATAAGTAGCAGATTTGTTCTCTTTTCATAATCTCATATTTATCAGAGATTTTGTTCATTTTTTAAATTCCTTTTTCTTTATTTTTATCTGACTGAGCTGATTCAAATAAGTGGAACTCAAGCTCTGATATTGCTTCCCCAGCTTGACCTCTTCTGCTGTTCCTAATTCTGATAGTATTCTGAAATTCTTGTAGTGACTTTTTCCTTTCCAGAAGTTCAGTTTAGTTCTTTCTTAAAATGGTTATTTTGTCTTTCAGGTCTTAGATAATTTTACTGGATTCCTTGGTTTCCCTGTATTGTGTTACCACTTTCTTCTGAATCTTGATGAGCTCCCTTGCCATCCAGATTCTGTATTCTATTTCTGTTATTTCAGTCATTTCAGACTGGTTATGAACCATTGCCAGAGAGCTAGTGGACTCGTTTGAAGGTAAGGGGACACTCTGGCTCTTTTAATTGCCAGATTTCTTGTGCTGATTTTTTGTCATCTGGGACAGTTGGTGTTAAAGCCATGCTGTAAGTTGAGTATAGTCAGTTGGCTTCATTCCTGGATACTTTCAGAGGGCCAAGGTGCTGTACAGGATCTTTATTTGTGGATGAATTCTTGTGCTTGGTTTTACAGGTATACATGTTAGTGGGATAATTTTTGGTGCTGTTTGGGCTGTGATCCAGTAGACGGTGCTTAAGAGTAATCGCCAGTAGCCAGGCTAATACCCAGCCATATGGCTCTTTTGTACTTCCTCATGTTAACAGGTATTTTCTGCAGTAGGGGCAGGGAGAAAGATGTTTCTCTCACCAGATCCATTCAAGGGACTTGGGGGACCCTCCTCCAATCACTGGTACTGTGCTTGCATTTCTTTTGTTAGATGTTCCAGGCCATGGGGCCCCCTTGGGCACAGACTGTGGCAGGGAGACGTCCCACACCTTTTCTGGACCAGCCCTGTGGAGGGAAGAATGCTTTGCTCCCTCTCCAGCCTGGGAACCTGCACATCTTGCCCCTCTCAGTGCTCTCAGGATAAGGGCTCCTCCTCTGCTTGAGTGCTGGCCACAGACTGCAGCTCTGCACTCCTGAACTGCATGCTGCACCCTCTAGGGGCACCAGGAAATCCCATGGCTTGGGGTTGGGTTCCAGCTGCATTGGAGGATTCAGTGTACTCCTGGTTCTCTGATAATGTACTCAGGTGTAGCAGTGTACTCGTGCTGGGCCATGGAGGCTACACTGTGCATCTGTTTTCTGGGGTAGCTAGACATGGGCCAAAGGATGGGCTGGTGGACAGGAGGGCTTGCAGAACAGATCCTGTCTAGTACAACAGGGAAGCCGGCCCCACTTTCTCCTGGCTCAGGTAAACTTGGGCAGTGCCTCCTGAAAAGGGATGGGGAACCTGGGGGATGCGCATCTCTGATGACTGTCTGTTGGTGCTGCCCAGCAAACAAAAGCTCCTGGGCTCTGTGCCATCTGAGGGACTGTCGCTGCCTGCTCCCTAAGGAGATCTCCCTACCAGCTCACACATCCATGGATGACATGAGGTATCCTGCAGCTAGGATCTCGGAGTTCCATGGCAAGAGGGAACCATCCCCCAGTTCCCTCTTCATCCCTTTCCCAGAAGCCATTTGGGGCCAGGAACTAGATCTAGTGTTTGGGAATGCGTGGAGGATTACCAGCTTCCTCTCTCTTCAACCTCAGCTTCAACATCACCCCTCTATACATTCTCAGCCTTTTATTTCCAAAAAACTGTCCAAATTATGGTGGTTTACAAGATGATTCAGTCTCACTTGGTGCAAGCAGCACTTCCTGGCTGCATCTAGTTGGCCATCGTGCCCTTTTATATGCAGGCATACCTCAGAAATATTGTGGGTTTGGTTCCAGACCATTGCAATGAAACAAATATCAAAATAAAGCTAGTCACTTTTTTAAATTTTGCTTTCCCAGGGTGTATAAAAGTTACTTTTACACTATACCATAGTCTATTAAATGTGCAATAGCATTATGTCTAAGAAAACAATGTATATACTTTAATTTAAAAACACCTGGCCTGGCACTGTGCCTCAAGCCTGTAATCTTAGCACTTTAGGAGGACAAGGCAGAACTGTTTGAGCCCAGAAATTCGAGATCAGCCTGGCAACATGACGAAATGCTGTCTCTATAAAAAAATACAAAAAATTAGCTGGGTGTGGTGGCACATGTCTGTGGTCCCAGCTACTCAGGAGATTGAGGTGGGAAGATCACCTGAGCCCAGCAGTTCAAAGCTTCAGTGAGTCACGATTGCACCACTGCGCTCTAGCCTGGGTGACAGAGTGAGACTCTGTCTCCAAAAATTAAAACAACAACAACAACAACAACAAAAACACACTTTATTTCACTAACAACTGTCCAACCCTTCAGTGAGTCATAATTTTTTTGCTGTGGAAGATCTTGCCTCTATGTTGATGGCTGCTATCTGATCTCATTTGTGATTGCTGAAAGTTGGGGTGGCTCTGGCAATTTCTTAAAATAAGAGAACAATAAAGTTAGTCGCATCAATTGATTCTTCTTTTCATGAAACATTTATCTGTGGCATGTGATGCTTTTTGATAGCATTTTACTCACAGTACCACTTCTTTCAAAATTGGAGTCAATTCTATTCAACTCTGACACTACATGATCCGTTTATGTAACTTTCTAAACCCTTTGCTGTCATGTCAACAATGTTCATAGCATCTTTACTAGGAGTAAATTTCATCTCAACAAACCACTTTCTTTGATCATCCATAATAAGCAACTACTGATCTGTTCAAGTTTTATGATGAGATTGCAGCATTTTAGTCACATATTCAGGCACCACTTCTAATTCTAGGATGCTTTCTGTTTCTGCCATAACTTCAGTTACTTCCTCCACTTAAGTCTTAAACCTCTCAAAGTCATGCATGAGGTTTGGAATCAACTTCTGTTAAATTTGATGGTTTGACCTCCTCTCATGAATCACAAGTGTGCTTAATGAAATCTATAATGATGAATTCTTTCCAGAAGGTTTTCAGTATTTTTTGCCCAAATCCACCAGAGAATTGTTATCTACATCAACTATGGTCTTATAAAATATTTTTATTAAACTATAGTACTTGAAAGTCAAAATTACTCCTTGATCTATGGACTGCAGAATGGTTGTGGTATTAGCAGGCATAAAAACAACATTAATCTCCCTGTACACCTCCTTCAGAGCTCTGGGGTGTCTAGATGAATTGTCAATGAGCAGCCATACTTTGAAAGAAATGTCTTTTTTCTAAGCAGTAGGTCTCAACAGTGGATTTAAAATATTCAGTAAACTATACTGTAAACAAATATGTTGTCATCCAGGCTTTGTTCTTCCATTTATAGAGCATATGCAGAGTATATCTGGCATATTTTTAAGAGCCTTGGAATTTTTAAATGGTAAATAAGCATTGGCTTCAACTTAAAGTGGTCAGCTGCATTAGGCCCTAACAAGAGAGTCAGCCTGTCCTTTGAAGCTTAGAAGCCGATATTGACTTCTTTCTAACAGTAAAACTCTAGATGGCATCTTCTTTTAATATATAAGGCTGTTTGGTCTACGTTGAATATTCATTATTTAATATAGCCACCCTCATCAAGTAACTAGATCTTCTGATTAACTTTCTGCAGCACTTACTGCTTCACCTTGCACTTTTAGGTTATGGAGATGGCTTCTTTCTTTAAACCTCATGAACCAACCTCTATTACCTTCCACTCTTTTTTTTCTGCAGCTTCCTCACTTCTTTCAGCCTTCATAGAATTGAAGTGAGATAAAGCTTTGCCCTGAATTGGGCTGTGTCTGAAGGGAATGATGTGGCTGATTTGATCCTCTGTCCAGATTACTGAAACTTTGTCTATACCAGCAATAAGCCTATTTCACTTTATTATCTTTTGGATGTTCACAGGAGTAGCACTTTTAATGTCCTTCAATAACTTTTTCTTTGCCTTCAAAAGCTGGCTAAATATTTGGCACATGAGGCCTTGTTTTTACCACTCTGAGCTTTCAACATGCTTTCTTCACTAAGCTTAATCATTTCTAACTTTTGATTTAAAGTGAGAGATATGTGACTCTTCTTTTTACTTGAATACTTAGAGTCCATTATAGAGTTATTCACTGGTATAATGTCAAAATTGTTGTCTGTCAGGGAATAGGGAGGCCTGAAAAGAGGGAGGGAGAAGGGGAAATGGCCAGTCAGTGGGTAGTCAACAGAACACATACACCATTTATATATTAAGTTTGCTATTTTACATGGGTATGGTTTGTGGCATCCCAAAATAATTACAATAGTAATATCAAAAATCATTGATTACGGATCACTACAACAGATATAAGAATAAGGAAAAAGTTTGAAATAATGTGAGAATTACAAATATGTGATGTAGACACAAAGTGAACATGTGCTGTTAAAAAAAAAAGGCACCAATAGACTTGCTTTATGCAAGGCAAAACTTCAATTTGTAAAAAACATGGTATCTATGAAGCACAATTAAGCGAAGCACAGTAAAAAGAGATGGTATTTATTTTCTATTTATTTTGCAAAACAATTCTGCCTGTTCTTAAATCATATAATATGTCCATCTCTAGAACCAAGTGGGGCTTGTGGCAATTTTGGAGCAGCTTCCCAAAATAATCACATTTGAAGAGAAACTATATATTTGGAATTTTGCACAGGTTCTTTTGATATAATTAAACAATGAAAGTTCAAAATTGAACCTTAATTATGTTAAGAAAATAAAATTTAGTTTCAGTGTTGCATGGCTTGCTCCTCAGTCCCCAAAAGCAAAGAATATAAGGCAGTCATTTCTGCCATCCTATCTAATGAATAACTTGGCAAATAGCTTCTTGATAACATAGCTACCATTTTAATCTGGTTGGAAAGTTTGAGGATAATTAAAATTTTTAGCTGAAACTCCTGCCTTGAATGAAAACCACCAGGCATTTTTATCCGTATTCCTATTTTGATAATCAAATCTTTGATGGTGAGCAGGTAAATATATTATTTGCATTTACCAAAAAACAAAACAAAACAGCACAAAGGCTTAAAAGTTTAGATGGCTTGCCTAAAGTTGCATAGGTAGTTAGTAAGTGACAATACCAAACTAATATGCCTTGTTATCTTGTGGCAATTACACTAAATTACACTCCACTCCATGTCTAAAAATTAGAAAGCAGAGATATAAACATCCATATCATTTATTTTAAAGTACCGTTAATTGTTGTTTATTTATACGGTTTAATGATTTGGCTTCCCAGAATGCTGGGCTTTCTTAGCTTCCATCAGAGCACAAAGAAATCATGAACCACATCATGCTCTGTTAACTTCAGGCCTAGTTGTTAGTACTAATAACATAAGATAATAATTGCAAATAAGTGTCATTTTTGTTTGTACTTTTATTGCATATCACTTCAGCCTTTATTTCCTACCATGCTCTATGTGAATTCTTCCAAAAGAAATTTTGTGTAATACATATTTAAAAATGCATCAAGGAAACACATTTTAAAAAACAATGGCATTTCAGGAAATGACTAGAATTGTGCAAGTTACACTCATTATGGGCATGGCTTAATTTTTCATGCATCTGTCCAACTGCTGTTTCATTTTTTTTTGATGTTCCAATTGTACCAATCTGGACATATTTGAATAAATGTTCTAACTGTATTCTATTTGTTTAAATAAGGGGAAAAATTAGCATCTCTACCTGCCTGATATTTCCTGTCTTTCTTCTTTATCTAGTTCAAACAAAGAAGATAAAAATTATAACTGTTTGAAAAAACAATGGAGACATTAACTGTGACATTTAAGGTAAAATAAACATCAATATTTAAAAGAAGAAAATAGTTCATACTATTTTGCACACCAATATTTCTGAATGTTTTAAACTTGAAAATTTAGGTAGCAAAGGTGGGCTTTATAAATAGTAAAAGAAGCAGTAATGATACAGTTATTTTTATAGAATATGACAGATTATTCAGAGATTTTTATGTTAATGCCCTTTATGTGGGTTGAAAATCATTGAATATCGTTGTTTTACTCAACTCAGGCTAAATTAGCACCATCTTCTTTAGGAGACCATGTCATAGCATGGCAGAAATTCACATTTAAAAACTCAGGGACACTTCCCAAGGAAAAATTCTCGTCTTTTTTCTTTTGGGCAGGTATAGCTTTAGGCAAACCTGTAAAATCTGTAAAGCTCATATTTAGAGCTTGTTGTATCACCTTTTCTTATTTTTCTGGAATCCAAGGTGTTTGATCTGTCCTAGAAGAATTCTTTCATTATTTTTTTCTGTCTGAGGCCCTATATTACATGGGAAGAGACAATTTTCAACCCAATAATTCTTCTTATCATCTAGGCTTGGGGTTTTGATTTAATATGGCTGAACTTTCATTTCCCAATTCACATTCTTGGTTAGAAAGCAATCTTTCTTACCACTTCCTCAAGTCTTTTGTTTATTTGTTTGTTTATTTATTCATTTATTAGTTTCTCCTTTACAGATAGGACTGGATTTTGAGGCTTCTAGCTTTATAACAATCTACCTCACCTGAGTAGGGACCCAAAATTGATGTATCTCCCTAAGCCATAAAATTCTGGCTTGGCGCAGTGGCCAAAGTCTATAATTCCAGCACTTTGGGAGACCAAGGCAGGAGAATCGCTTCAGCCCGGGAGTTTGAGACCAGCCTGGGGAATATGGTGAAACCCCATCTCTACAAAAACATACAAAAAATTAGCTGAGCATGGTGATGTGTGCCTATAGTCCCAGCTATTCAGGAGACTGAGCTAGGAGGATCACTTGAGCGCAGGCAGAGTTTGCAGTGAACCATGATCACAGCACTGCACTACAGCTTGGGTGACAGAGTGATACCCTGTTTAAAACAAAAAAAAAAAAAAAAAAAAGAAAAGAAAGAAAAAAAATCCTAGCTGACTGTTCTATGGTCTGTAGGTAGGTTTTATAGAGTGAAGGGCTAACATTCTTTTGGTTTTAGCTTACCATTCTCACTTTGTTATTAATACTTCTTCATTCCTATTACCTTCTCCGTTCCTGCTTTCCTTTCCCCTTCGTTCTTTCCTCTTTCATTTTCTCTTTTCTTTCCCTTCTCCACTCCCTCTCCCCTTTCTTCTTCCTTTCCCCCTTTCTTCTTCTTTCCCCTATCCCTTCTTTTATTTTTCAATTTCTCCTTCCTTTCTTTTAAATCTGCTATACATATTTTTTTAAATGATCATATTTCATCCAGCATTTCTGTGTGCTTCTAGTGGTTGTGTGTGTGTGTGTGTGTGTGTGTGTGTGTTGGGTGGTGGTAATTGTGGGTCATCATTAACTTCTTCTGGTATATAATTGAAAGTCTATTTGACTCCAAGTCAAATTTCATGTTTGTGTACCTAATTGACTCAGGGCTCTGCATTCTATGAACATGTTAACTAACTTATATTTTCCCCATTTTAGAAAAGGGAAAATGACATTTTAATCAGATTAAACATGTTTACCTATGTAACAAAGATGCGCTTGTACCCCTGAACCTAAAATAAAAGTAAAAAAAAATAAAGAAGGGAAAAAATAACCTCATCTCCAAATTGAAAGCAAGGAATGACAAATGTTGGAAATTTCTTAGAGTGATGCAAGATGATGGAGAAGAAATTTGGGGGCAGGTGTATTTTTAATACTCTCTATATCTCAACTACTCTAGTTAAATGTGGGGCTAATGTGTTGGCCTAAAGGAATACGTTTATGACTGAAATATCTGAAAAGTTAAAATATTTTATTGAGCCCTTAACATGTATTAAGAACTCTTAACAACAACCCCATAAAATAAATTACCCCCATGTTAAAGTTGAGGAAATGGAGGTAATGAAGTATAATGTGCCAACAGTCACACAGGTAATAAATGGCTAAGCCAAGATCCAAACCTAGGCAATATAGCTCTGTTGTATTAATCAATATATTTAAATGACACTAAAGGCAAGAAAGATAAGTCAATAGAACAATTGATTCTATCATTTTCTTATATATAGGTCTGATGAAGCCTCTGTATTTTGTCAAAGGTCAAAAGTTTTATATGCTTAACAACAATAGCAATAAAAAGTAGATTGATAGTCATCATTTTCATAGCAGCTTGCCCTACCAGGGAAGAAAAAGGTGCTTTCTTCTAAGGAAAACATTATCAGGTAAGGACCTTAATTCAATAAATTGCTTGTTAATTCACAGACACCTGTCTTAGCAGCTGGCTAGAATACTGCTAGAACACTGAGACTGGATGATCCAGTATCTACATCTACCTTTGTGCATTTTTCTTTTACAGCATGGAAAGAAATGTTCAATTGCTTAGTTGTGTGAAGACATGAGGCCCCATCTTGATACTTTCTTTCCCTAATGAAACATTTCTTTTTTCAACAAAATTATTTTTTGGCTTAAAGAAGTAATTCCCATTTCTAGCTAGGCAGTCCCTATATGCCTTCATAAAGAAAGCATTGTTCGGCAACATACACCAATAAATAATACTAGACTTGAAAAATTAGTTGTCTTGCTATTACTTCTTTTGTGTTTTCTTAAAAGTAATCTCACATATTTTTGGATGTTTACTTGGGAATACTGTGACACAAAGCCAGGTTAGGGCAGTGCCAGTATCATTTGACTGTGTATAAAACATGTGTGGAATTTATTTTAAAATTTATTTCATAAACATACATCCAGGGATTCTGATTTGGTACTTCATACTAAGGGTGAGGTCCAGGAATCTACACTTAACAAATTTCCTGAAAATTTGGGTATAGGCAGTCTTTGGACCTTGCTTTTTGAAACTAAGTTAAGCAGTAGTTCACATACATTTTGAGCATCTGATAAAATGATTTGTGCCTATCTAATGAGATTCACTATCTTTATTTCTGTGTTAAGCCTAGATTTCCTTTTTTCTCTAGAGCTTCATTCATTTAAGATGGAATTCCCTAATCCTCATTCTGTTTTTCAATCCAGTGGGAAATTGCTTTGTTTTCTTTTTCTGAAGTCCACCTTCAATTTACTGGTCCCTTTATTATTCCATAACCTTTCATGTCCCCTGTTATCTTCTTAGTGGGCTAAGGGTACAGACTCTGGAGCTTGTCTTAGTTGGAATTTGGACTGTAGAAGCTGGCTGTGCAACCATAAACAATTGGCTTAACCTCTCCTTGCTTACATTTAGTCATTTCTAAAATGGGGATGATAATAGTATTTAACACATACTTTTCTTTGGAGATTAAATGATATAATACACTTTAATTAGGGTGCCAGGGCATGGTAAGTGCTCGATAAATACTACTTATCATCTGATATCTAGCAACATCATGATCATCATCGTCATGATCATCACCATCATATGATTTCCTACCAGGTTTGCTTCTTAGCTCTTCATTCTGGAGAGAGAATCTCATCTCTCTCTCTCCTAAACCCAAATAAATGAATCTGATGGCTAAATGGTACAATACTAAAACTCATTACACTACTGTTCCATTAATTTTATTTTTATATAAGAGAGTATAAAATATTTTTGTAGTTTAATAAATATTAATTATAAAATAAACACTCATGTAACAATAACCTGCATAGCCCTCAATGAATATATTCCCCTCCCTCAGATATAACTTCTATCTTGATTAATCATTCTCTTACTTTTATTTGTGGTTTTATCATATACATATTCACATTTGAAAACTGTATTGTTTGCTGGGCGCGGTGGCTCACGCCTGTAATCCCAGCACTTTGGGAGGCCGAGGCGGGCAGATCACGAGGTCAGGAGATCGAGACCATCCTGGCTAACATGGTGAAACCCCGTCTCTACTAAACACACACACAAAAATTAGCCGGGCGTGGTCGCGGGCACCTGTAGTCCCAGCTACTCTGGAGGCTGAGGTAGGAGAATGGCGTGATCCCCGTAGACGGAGCTTGCAGTGAGCCAAGATCGCGCCATTGCACTCCAGCCTGGGCCACAGAGCAAAACTCCGTATTAAAAAAAAAAAAAGACAACTATATTGTTAGGTTTTCTGTGGCTTTGGACTTTACAATGTGCAAAGTTTAGCTATTGTAAAGTTTAGCTATTCCATATACATTACTCCGTGATTCACTTCTGCTCAAAGTTATGTTTGTGAAAAACATCCATGTTCAAGGGTAAAGGAATACCATTTTCTCTTTTTCACTCCTATGATTTATTCCATTGTATGACCACAACATAATTACATGTTCTATTGTTGATAGATACTTGGGTTATTTAAAGTTTTTGCCATTATAAACATTGATTCCATGAATGTACTTATATAAGCTTCCTTGTGCACATAGTCAGGACTTCTCTCTGCTTGCAACTAGCAGTGAAATTGCTAAGATGGTTTAGGCAGATGCTTGAGTTTGATAAATAACATCAACATTTCTAATTAAAGTAATCATAGTCCATCTAAGTTTAATCAATTTAATCTACCATCAGAATATGAGAGTTCTTGTTGTTTTATGTCCCTGCTATAATTTTGTAATGACGTTTCTTTTTTGTCAAAATAGCTATGTATATTTTCTTCATTGTAGTTTCATTTAACCTGACCCTCATTACTAATGAGGTTCTGTATCTTCTTGTACGCTACCAGGTATTTGGGTTTGTTCTTTTTTAGTGCCTATTTAAAAGCCTGGCTTGTTATAATACGTATAGCACAGTCTTTCAGTTAAACACTGTGAGGGCTGGTTTTAGATCTCTTTTGTTGAGTATATCATTCCTTCAAGTATGCACTCATTCATTCATTTTTAAAATATTTTGAAGTAGTTACTGAAAGCAAAGTGCTAAGTAAACTCTTTTTTTTGGAGACAGGGTCTTGCTGTCTCACCCAGACTGGAGTATAGTGGTACAGTCACAGCTCACTGCAGCCTCAAACTCCTGGGTTCATGGTATTCTCCTACCTCTGCCTTCTGAGATGCTGGGATACAAGCACACACCACCACACTTGCCTACTCTTTTTTAAATATTTTATTTTTTGTAGATAGGGGATATCTTGCTGTATTGACCAGGCTGGTCTCAAACTCCTGCCCTCAAGCAATTCTCCCACCTTGGCCTCCCAAAGTGTTGGGATTACAGGCATGAGCCTCAGTAAACTCTTTTATACTTACCTGCACTTTGTAGTTGTTTTATGAACTTTAAGTGGCTAAATGAAAATTAACCTGTTTCACCCTTTGCCTCAGCTGCCAAGACCTTGAGGCCAAATATGTTAATCATTTGGAATTTCCTGCATATCTCAGAGTCCTAATAGTATACATTAGTATCTAGGAATTGGCTTCCTATACAGCAAATTGGTGAGCAATAATTTCCACATGAGGGTAAGTTAAGGAATTTAAACATGTTTATTTGCATTTTTTCATTCAAAATAAAGATAGCTTCATTGGGCCCTACATAAAAATGCATATTCTTACAACTTAGATTACATACTTTATATGTTTTCTAATTGACAATGAGAATTAGGCACTATTTTATTGTTACTAAAATATTAATATATAGGCACAGTTGAGAATACATAATATGTGTAAAAGAAAATAAAATTTCAGGACCCTCTGAATTTATAATGCTAAGGGAGAAGTTAAGCCCTAGTGATAGAATCATATATCACTTTTGCAATTCTGCTTCTTAAATGATAGATAACCCTCTTCCTCATTGTTTTTGTTACATAAATGACTAGGAGAGACCAAAGACCAGACCTTCCCACTTTCCAATGGAAAGTGATTCAAACATTAACATTAACAAGCTATAATGTTTGTTATAGATTAACTGTCTCCTTTTTGGTCCTGTACTTGACTCAGACTAGATGATACCCAAGACCCAATAACTGTTACATCTTTGGTGTAAAATGTTCAATATGTCTCTCTGAAAGAAAAAGACCACCTTGACTAATCAGATTATTGAAACTATGTGTTATGCCTTACATAGAAATATGTTGAAATTCTGTTAAACTTCCCTAAACTTTGTTTATATAAGCAATCCCAAACTTTTGCTCTTTGAAACACTGATTTCCATTTTTTTGGAATCTGTACTTCTTAGGTAGAGCATCCTCAAACTTTGTGCTTGCATAAACTCTCTTTAAACTAGATTCTGACCATTTCGATTATTTTAGGTTGACATTTTGGTAACTCAGAAGGAACCTGAAGCAAGTCTCCAAGATTCCTACCATTTTGCAGACAACTGGTGCCTTGATACCAGCGCATATGGCTTTTGTTCACCCAACCTCACCAGAGCTGGCAGGGGTCTCTGTCAAGACTCTTCTTGGGTTTCAAATCTCTCTAATTTTGGCTTGGAATTTGGGCCTTATTCAAGTGACCTGAATCACACTCCCCAGAGCTGGAATTGAAGCTTTGCTTTTAAGGAAGGAGAATTATTTATTATTCTCTATAGAGTCTGCTGCCTGCAGATTTGTGATTTTCATTTTCCTCTGAGGTTAAGATTTTATTTATCTTACTTATTAAAGTTTGCAATCTATTTCTCTCAGTAGAAGTTCAGTCAAGAAGAAAATGGTTTCTCTTTGAAAAGAAAAAGTGAAATTTTTGTAGCTTAAGCAACATATATGTAATCTTTAAAACTGACCAGATTCTGAGGCTTGATTAAATTGACAATTTGAAACTTTCTTGAATGATCAAAATTCTTCACACTAGGTAATAATCTAAATTATGAGCAGTCATACCTATAAGGCCAAGTCTTTATCCTCAAGGAGAAATCCACCTTTAGACACTCCAACTGAATTTATGTAAAATACTTATGGCACCATTTCCTGTTGATATCTAGAAAAATGGTCTTACTTAATGCATGAAGACCCCGAAATGGAGTACCTTTAAAAACAGGTAGCCAGAATAGGGTAACTTTAAAATACCTAAATTTTTGTTTATCTGTGTGCTCAATGAGAAACAGCCAGCTCTAAAGTAAACTAAAAGAACTTGAAGAGATATTTTTCAATAGTACTTAGAAGGCTGTAAAAGAGGTTCTGATAAAGTCATTTCTTTGAAGGAAGAAAACAAAATATTGTCTAAAACTATTTTTTAAATTAAAAAAGTAAAC
Organism: Homo sapiens; assembly: GCF_000001405.40. Lineage (NCBI taxonomy): Eukaryota > Metazoa > Chordata > Mammalia > Primates > Hominidae > Homo > Homo sapiens. Next base: position 3,367,280 of record NC_000024.10, read on the forward strand.
ACTGAAGGCTTTCTCCCTGTCACCTCCAACTGCTCGTTTTCTTTAGCCTGGAGCTCTGAACTCATCCCTTTCTGCTTATTTCTTCAGTTCCCATACATCTTTTAGGCAGAGATTTTTGGAATTCCACTATGCACACATTTCCTTTACTCAAAAGGGGGACAATGCTTTTAAATTTGGAACAGTGGGAATAAACAGAACAACTACAGAATGAAAATGAACCTAAGATTATAAAAATACAGATCCAACAAATTATTTCTAAACCAGAAATGATGAACAACACTGATGATATATTGATGGAACAACAGATGAATCCTTTCAATGCCCTGGTTTATTTTGTGGTCCCTTGGAGATGTGAATCTTATGAAGTCTTTGAAATGGTAATATCCAGGGAATTAGCTAAGCAGCAGTTGAGATCAGATCTGAAACAAGTGAAAATTCTTTAAATACTCAAAGTGCCTGCTTTGGATCCCATACAGGATCTGCAAAAAGCACTCTGCCCTGTGGTCTAGTGGTTAGGATTCTGAGCTTTCATCACTGTGAACTGTTTTCAGTCCCTCATTAGGGAATCAGTCTCATTTGTCTTAAATTATTTGTATGACTCCACACCTTTTAGGCACCTATTTGTTACTGAACCTTTTCCCTTCCATGGACAGCTTTCGATTTTCTGTCTTTTCATATGTGGGGCACATGGAGCTTTGGGGCCTTCATGTGTAAGTGCTCAGCTGAGAAGCTGATATCCTAGAAAATCTGGCCAGATAGAAATGTGGGTTGTATTCCATTTATGACTAGCAAGACTTTTCTTTCTTTGAGCTGTCTTTGGAGTAATTCTGGATCTTGTAAGGATTGCTTTACACGTCTTTGAAGATATCTAGTTAATTCTTGGTTAAGTTGTAAATTTGGTTAAGGCTCACTGGTTTTGGTGGGTCACTCCACCAAAGGATACCTTTGGCTTTAAAAAAAGAAAAGTGGAATAAAGTATTTATAAAAGGTAAGCCTTCAGATAAGGTAGGCTTACTTCTTTTTCAGAGCTATCTATGATGACACTAGGCATAAAAAAATTATTTGCCTGCTTCCATAATGAGCTCCACTCCGGACTCAATAATTTTAGATAAGAAATAGAAGCTAAGTTGGCAAGACCACCCACTGAAGACAATTAGTATAAAAAGTACATCTTTCTGGCATTTAGCTGGCTATTTTGAAATCCCTTTGTAAAAGAACTTTACAGGTATAAAGGAGATCTTCATTTGTAAGAACATCTCTCTTTCTGCATGATGAATATATTGGCTCTAAGTTTACATAACAAACCTTACCTTTGTTCAAGATACTTTCCTGCAATTTTGTCTTGACTCAGCCTGTACCTATTTCATTCTTTCTCTCAGCAAATAATGCTGTTTACATCTAAGTTATTTGCCTTTGGGATGTAAATTTTGCCTGAGTCATGTCTTTTGGAAGAGCAAATTTACTGTTGCCTGGCTAACAATTATTTAGGGCTTGATAGTCTGAAGGAATGAGAGAAACTATTTGAAAACCAGCAAAGGAAAAACTTCGTGAAGCTATAAAATCTGCTTCTGTCTGTGTGTCTCTATGTCTATATGTTTATAGGCGACATTTCACTACCAAAACATGTGAAAGAGCTCTAAATAATTGGCTTAAAAAAAGTAAGTGCCTAAGTCAAATATTTTATCAGAAAAATAGAAACTAACTCCTCAAATGCCATTTAATTTGCATGACTTGTGTAAATCTTTGGTAAGTAAGAGTAGTTTAATATTTTCAACTTAACAAAAACAATAATTTATTCTGTTATGAACAAAAAATGCATTCAACTTTATGATTTTTTGCTGCTATATTTGCTTAACATGCAGTAATATAAAAATGGTAAATAAAAAATTAACGAGGTGATGGCTAGCTTAGTTTAACGAACTATTCAATCATAAATATTAGGAACAAATTAAATGAGATATAAGTTTATAAATGAAGTTTTTACAGTTTCAAAAATATTTTAGTAATTTGATATCTTGAATTATTGTTATGTTAAATGAAGTGATAGATAAATATTTGATGACTGAGACATTTCTAGGTAAGTTAAAATACTGAAACATTAATTATCAAATATAAGCTTAAGTTTATATAATTTGGCATATTATTTTTATATGGCATAGAAAAACTAAATATGCTTAAATTTGTTGATAAACAAAAAAATCGAGGAAACATTTTTTAAAAATTATGAAATGGGGCCATGCACAGAGTGTCATGCCTGTAATTCCAGCTCTTTGGTAGGCTGATTTGGGAAGATTACTTGAGGACAGAAGTTTGAGACCAGCCTGGGAAACACAGCAAAACCTCATCGCTATCAAAAAATTTAAAAATTACTCAGATGTGATGATGCATGCCTGTAGTTTCAGTTACTTGGGACGTTGACATGAGAGAATCCCAGATCCCTTGAGCTCAGAAGTTAGAGGTTATAGTGAGCTATGATTGTGCCAATACACTCCAGCCTGAGTAACAGAGCAAAACCTTATCGCTTAAAAATAATAAATACGTATACCGATTATAAAATAGTATTCTTCTACAAATAGTGGTATAAAATGTTTTAAAATTACTTACTTTCTAGGTTTTTCACAGAAACTTAGGGTTACTGAGTTAATATTATAATTAATATATGTAATTGATAGTACTAAATTGTACTAAGTACAATTCTAAATGCAAAATATATTTTTAAAATAGCACTTTTTGGAAAAAAGGTTATAAGAAAAACATAAATATGTGATTTTTATTAAAGAAAAGATGATTTTTTTTCTGGTTTAAATGTTATTTGAAGTTTGTTTCAAAATGAAGTAAAATGATATGTAGAAAAAACTTTAATTGGATCTAAAAGTTGGGGAAAGAAAAAAATGAAAAAAATTGTAAGATATTACAAATGTTGCATAAAAATCTTCTAATATGTGTTCCAAGCAAATTGAGATTAGATGAATTTGATTTTAAGGTTTTATTAATATTAGCTTTTGTATTTTAAATACATGAATATAAAAGTAAAATTTGTGTTTTCGAACATGAATTTTGTATAGTATTAATAAGAGATAGTAAAAGATTTGTTTCCCTTCTGAGTAAATTGCAGAAACAATAATAGAGGTGGGCAGAGACGGAGAGACATGTCCTTTTGGTATCATTCTATCTTCTGAGGATCTTTTAATTGTTTGGGAAATTGAGTCTCTATCAGGTTAATGCCCTTTGCCTTTTGAAATCTTTGAATTATCATTTTAGCTACATAAATGACATTTTACAGTGACCTGCGATCCTAATTTTAATATTAAGTGTTTCCAATCTTTGATATTTGGCATACTCCCCCAAATCAAATTTTAAATTCTAAAATTAAGATTTTTTTTTTACGTGAACTAACTTAAATGTAACAAATAGGAATCCATGGAAGTCCAAGCAAGACATATTAGGATTATTTGGTATGTTAAAATTATGTGGGAAGAATTCATAAATAAGAAATGGTGTTTAATTTAAGTTATATTTGTATAAATGTTATTAATGTTTTTTAAAAATTGTATGATATTCCTAAATTCTGATATGTCTTCATGTATGTTGTCAGTCATAATTAGGATTATTAAGTTAAATTGTTATATGCCACAGAAATGACCAAATTTTCTTCTCAATTGCATCTTTAAGCATGGCTAATCTAAGTCTTTTGTCACACATAAACAATTATTGTTTGATTTTTTTCAGAAAATGGTTTTCAATTCTCTACAGTTCAAAATTTGCCTTTTCTTCAAGGAAATTCATAAAAAGAAAAAGGACATTGGCAAGTACTCTTAAATAAGGATTTCTGATAACTTTGGAGATTATACCTTTCATTGGACTAGATAAAACATTTCCAGGACTCTAATTAAAAAGCAAATACCTTTATAAGGAATGCTAAGCCAACATTAAGCAGAATAAGAATTAAATGCATGGAATTGTTATAGAATTCAGTCATTTTTTATTACTTTTTTGTTTGAAACATTGCTGATTTACTTCTTATTTTATTTTCCAGAATCAAGAAAACAATTCAATAAGAATCCATTTTCCTTGATAACAGGACACAATTGAAAACACTGGTTATTTAACCAAAGCTTCATCTGAAATGGCATATTTTACGGATATGACGAGACTGCTTTGAGGAATTTAAGTGGACCTTATAAAGTTGATAAAGAGCCCCTTAGAAAGATTGGCCTAGTACCTCATCTACTTGGTTCCCTTAGGAGCCTAGGAACCTCAAGATATTTGGGGACCTCAAGAAGAGAGAAATTCAATCAATTTATGCACATATTACAGGCATAGTGTAATGGTGAATCATTGGCTTGGTTTCCCGGTCTTAAAAGGCTTTTAGAAGTCGAATTTGAGACTCTTTATGAAAACATTCCAGCAAAGTCAACTTAAAGGACCCTATATGACCATTCATTATTCTTGTTTATGCAAATAATCAGGCCAAGTAAAATACTAAAACTTATTTTGCAAGTAAGTTGGTTTTGCTAAGATATATCTTTGGTAGAAATGGGGAACTGGGGAGAGAAAAATTATGTATCAGGGAAAATTATAACAAACCTATTATTACATTCCAGCTCTCATCATTATTTCTGAGTTTGTATTATTTTCCTACAATTTGGACTAAATCCCAAATTATTTTATGGCTACAACAGGTCTATAAAGAAGGACTGGGTTTTAATTTTCTTCATGATGTTTTTAGTTGACTCCCCAGTGAAATAGGTTTTTTGTTCTGACACACGAATTCTCTTTTTAACTATAATCCTTATGTACACTATATTTCTGCTATGTATCTCTCATTGTTTTACTTCTCCCAAGAAAATTAACCCATAATGCTTCCAAAGATTAGAGATGATTCAATAATTAACAACAGCTGTATAAATCAGCAACTTGACTGAGGTTGCATTGTTGCCACCCTGTTCTGCCATCCTAGTTTGTCTTTTGACACTCATAAAATTCTTCAGTGAGATGTATCGTCCTCACTTTCATGGGACATGACTTCCATAGATTTTTTTTTTTTTTTTTTTGAGACCGAGTTTCACTCTTGTTGCCCAGGCTAGAGTGCGGTGGCGCCATCTCAGCTCACCGCAACCTCGACCTTCTGGGTTCAAGCGATTCTCCTGCCTCAGCCTCCCGAGTAGCTGGGATTACAGGCATGCACCACCATGCCTGGCTAGTTTTGTATTTTTAGTAGAGACGAGGTTTCTCCATGTTGGTCAGGCTAGTCTCAAACTCTCATCCTCAGGTGATCCACCCACCTCGGCCTCCCAAAGTGCTGGGATTACAGGCGTGAGCCACTGCAGCTGGCAGATTTTTTTTTTTTTAATTGAACTTTTATTTTAAGTTCAGGAGTACTTGTGCAGGTTTGTTACATAGGTAAACTTGTATCATGGGGATCTGTTGTACAGATTATTTCATCACCCAGGTATTAAGCCTAGTACTTATGAGTTGTTTTTTTCTGATCTTCTCCCTCCACCCACCCTCCACCCTCTGATAGACCCCACTGAGTGTTGTTCCCCTCTATGTGTCCCTGTGTTCTCATTGACTAGCTCCCACTTATAAGCGAGAACATGTGGTATTTGGTTTTCTATTCCTGTGATAGGTCGCTTCAGATGATGGTCTTAATCTGCATCCATGTTGCTCCAAAGGATCCAATCTCATTCTTTTTTACGGCTGCATAGTATTTCATGGTGTATATGTACAACAATTCCTTTATCCAGTCTACTATTGATGGGCATTTAGGTTGATATTATTTCTTTGCTATTGTGACTAGTAGTGCAATGAACATATAGGTGCATGTGTTTTTATAATAGAATTATTTATATTTTAGGGGCATATATCCAGTAATGAGACTGCTGGATCGAATAGTATCACTGTTTTTAGGTCTTTGAGGAATCACCACATTGTCTTCCACAATGGTTGAACTAATTTACACCCCCGCCAACAGTGTATAAGCATTCTTTTTCTCAACAACCCTGCCAGCATCTGTTACTTTTTGACGTTTTAATAATAGCCATTCTGACTGGTATGAGATGGTATCTCATCGAGGTTTTGATTTGCATTTCTCTAGTTATCACTGATGTTGAGCTTTCTTTTATATGATTTTTGGCCGCATTTATGTCCTCTTTTGAAAAGTGTTCATGTCCTTTGCCCACTTTTTAACGGGGTTGTTTGTTTTTTTCTTGTAAATATGTTTAAGTTCTTTACAGATGCTGGATATTAAACCTCTGTCAGATGCATAATTTGCAAACATTTTCTTCTATTTGGTATGTTATCTGTTCATTCTGTTGATAGTTTCTTTTGCTGTGAAGTAGCTCTTTAGTTTTATTAGATCCCATTTGTCAAGTTTTGCCCTTCTTGCAATTGCTTTTTATGTCTTTGTCATGAAATCTTTGTCCATTCCTATGTCAAGAATGGTATTCCCTAGGTAGTCTTCCAGAGTTTTTATATTTTTGCGTTTTACATTTAAGTTTTTAATCCGTTTTAGTTAATTTTTGTATATTGTGTAAGGAAGGGGTCCAGTTTCAATCTTCTGCATATGGCTAGCCAGTTATCTCAGCACCATTTTGAATAGGGAATCCTTTCCACATTGTTTGGTTTTGTCATGTTTGTCAAAGGTCAAATAGTTGTAGGTGCATGGCGTTATTTCTAGGTGCTCTATTTTGTTCCATTTTTCTATGTGTGTGTTTTTGTACCAGTACCATGGAAGCTGTTTTGGTGACTGTAGCCCTGTAGGATAGTTTGAAGTCAGGTAACATGATGCCTTCAACTTTATTCTTTGTGCTTAGGATTGCCTTGGCTATTCATGCTCTTTTTGGTTTCCAGAGGAATTTTAAAATACTTTTTTTTTTCTAATTTTGTGAAGAATGTCAATGGTAGTATAATAGGAATAGAATTGAATCTTTAAATTTTGGGGGGCAGTATGGTCCTTTTAACCATGAGCATCTAATCTTTTTCCATTTGTTTGTGTCATCCCCAAATCAAGAATGCAATCCCATTCACAACTATCAGAGAAAAATATAACACCTAGGAATACAGCTAACCAGGGAGGTGAATGATCTCTACAAAAAGAACTACAAAACACTGCTCAAAGAAAGCGACATGGGATTTTGTCATAAATACACTACCTAAATACCTGATTCTTAGGCAATGTTTTCTCCAAAAGATTTTGAAGAAAAGTGGGATATGTAAAAGAAAATGAAATTTCAGGTTCTTTTAAATGTATTATATAAAGGGCCTATAAATCCCTAAAGTCTGAGTTACAGCATTTTTCTAATTCTGCTTCTTAAATTACAAATTAACTCCCTTTCTCATTGTTCTTGTTCTGTACATTACTAGGAGACCAAAGAGCAGTCCTCCACCTTACAATCACTCATCTTTGTTACAGATTAACTGCCTATTTTATTTTCCTTTACCTAACTCAGACCAGATGGCATCCAAGGCCTATGATTGTTACATCACTTCTTTAGTGTGAAATGTTAAATATACCTTTCCAAAAAAAAAGCACCTCAATTATTCAGATTATTCTCATGAAGCATTAAGCCTTATATAGAAAGATGTTAGAATTCTGTTAAACTTCCATAAACTTTGTTTACATGTCATCCCAAACTTTTACACTTCAGAGCACTGACTTCCATTTTTTGAAATCTGTGCTTTGCTCATCCTCAAAATTTGTACTTGAATAAATTCCAATTAAAATAGATTCTGACCTTTTGATTATTTTAGGTTCACATTGAATGTGTATTTCCATTCTTAAATCTTGGAATGATAATGTGTCAGACTGTCTGTAGTTTTCAGGCCACAGGTTACTAATCACTCCTCCATATGTTTCCTTTAGTATTTACAACTATCTTACTGTGCACTGTATTTTAATCTATAAGCTACCTAAATATATCTTCTGGCTAATGAGGGTAAACATTTCAAAATATGTAAGACAAGGAATAGAGAAATGAAGAGACATATTGAAGAGAAATGGAGTTTATTTGCTTTTTCACTGACATCTTTTTCTAAGGAATACAAATTTATGTACTTTGGCAATGATCACTCTTGACACTAAACATACTTATTTACTCTTTGAGCTGTTTCAGCAATGAAAAGATATGAGGACAGTGTTTGAGAAAGAAAGGTTCAGGTGTATATGTCCTTTATATTAGATGATATTTTTGAAAATGGCTCTTTTGGTGTTATTCATTATTGTTCAGTAGGAAGATAAACTTTTTTTTACAATTATACATAGTTTGACTTTTAAAATAAAAGTATGAATTTAATTTTGTGATAAAAACATAAGAAAACAAAAATGTAATTAATATGCTATAAGACAAATATATTACATTAATTATAAGAGAACAATATGCCGAAGGAAATGAGCAAAGAATAAGGACAGACAGATTCTCTGTGTATGTGTGTGAGTGTGTATATATATACACACAAAAAAATTCACTAGAAATTTCTTAAGCTAAAATTAATAAATATCCTAGAAAGTAGAACCAAAGACTAAGAAATGGGAATTAGAGAAAATAAACAAAAGACCAATGAGGTTAACTCAGGAGGTCTAACATTTGATTACTAAAAATTTATTCTAAAGACGAAATGAAAAAAATAGAGAGGAACCTATGTGACTATCGGGGGCAGGTTCCCCAATACTAGATAAAGAAAATGTGGCACATATAAACCATAGAATACTATGCAGCCATAAAAAGGAATGGGTTCATGTCCTTTGCAGGGACATGGATGAAACTAGAAACCATCATCCTTGGCAAACTAACACAGGAACAGAAAACCAAACACCGCATGTTCTAACTCATAAGTGGGAGCTGAACAATGAGAACACATGGACACAGGGAGGGGATCATCACATAATGGGGCCTGTCGTGTGGTGGTGGGAAAGGGGAGGGAGAACATTAGGACAAATACCTAATGCATACAGAGCTTAAAACCCAGATGACAGGTCGATAGGTGCAGCAAAGGCACATATGTATCTATGTAACAAACCAGCACGTTCTGCACATGTATCCCAGAACTTAAAGTAAAATTAAAAAAAAACTACAATATAACATTTTATTGATATTGATAATCACCATGAAGATCTCCCCTGTTGGTTCCAAGTATTTGCTATTGTGAACAGTGCTGCAATAAATATTCGTGTGCATGTGTCTTTATAGTGGAATAATCAAATGACAAAATTCAATTTTGTTATAGCTCTGAGGTAATGCCATCCTTGTCATACATTCTTTCGAATATTTTTGCAAGAGCAGAAAGCAGTATTGACTATAAGATGAAGTGACCCGGTGCGGTGGCTCACGCCTGTAATCCCAGCACTTTGGGAGGTTCAGGTGGGCAGATCACCTGAGGTCAGGAGTTTTAGACCAGCATGGCCAACATTTCAAAACCCCATCTATACTAAAAATACAAAAATTAGCCGGGTATGGTGGAAGGTGGACATCTGTAATCCTAGCTACATGGGATTCTGAGGCAGGGGGAATTGCTTGAACGGGAGGCAGAGGTTGCTGTGAGCCGAGGTTGTGCCACTGCACTCCAGCCTGGGCAACAGTGCAAGACTCCATCTCAAAAAAACAAAAAAGAATATAAGATGAAGTGAGGTTTAACTATGATTTTGAAATTCACTCCATTTCTTCTTTGAGCAATTAACCAAGTTCTCTGCCTTCCTTCTTTATAACATAGCTCTTCAAAAACATCTTTATGTAGTAGCTCCAATATTTTCCAAATATATTTTGAATTCAATCCATTTATGGATTCATGTTAACCACTTTAGTACATTTACTCTTTTCAAGGTCATGATTTCTGCATTGCTAAGTTCATTGGTCAATCATCATTCTTCAATCTATATATTCTATTTATCTTCACATAGCTTATTTAAAATAAAATGGATGGCATGAGGTTTTCTTGCCTTCTGTTTAGCTCTAAAGCATGAACTTTTAGAAGGAAAATTCCATATGGTAAATAACTGATCACTAATGCTTTTCATATAAAGAACTGACAACCACAGATAAAAACTTATCTTGAAATGCAATCAACCACCAATAAAATTTAGACATGAAAAAATACAGTTTTCATGTCTTGGTACCAATTTATCTCTGAGCTATGGGAGTCTGCACAATAGTATATATTTGTGCCAGATTCAATATACTTGTATGCAGTTTGATCCTGGAGCTGGGATTTGGTTTCTACATGGTATGAGGATCTGTGTTGGATTGATAAAGACTTTTTATTTTTTCTGTGATATTTTCCTTTTCTTTAACAAATTGAGCAAAACAGTGTCACAGACAGGTTTTTCACAGTGCCCTTCTAAAAGTGAGTGCTTTTACCTGAGATTATGATTAAATTCACTCTGTGTCCTTTCTCTCCTCCCATCCCCTCCCCATTCTGACAAGTGACAGTTGACAGTACCTTTCAAAATTCAGTCAGCTTGCTGAATTGCCTAATGTGAAAAAACAGAGGATTAATTACCCCATGAGCACACATCCAATATACAGAAAATGGAAAGTATTGTCAGAAAAAAATGGATACCTTTGTGAAATAAAGTTAATATTGAAAAATAGCAAATAGACAATTTTATAAGGGCTATGAACGAAGATACCTCCTTGAAACGCAGCTTAATAAATGTTGCTTTAAGTTACTACAAACATTTTTCAAGGAAAGTTATGTATCAAAACTGTAATCATTAAAATAAACCCAAATGCTCATCTTTATTGATTATATGCTCATCAGGAACAAAAAGAGTATCAAAATCAGAAGCACAATAAAACAATCTAACTTCTATATGCTTTGAAATTCTTGTGAAAAGTACACATTTAAAAAATAAGTCTCAATTATTGCTATCATCATTATGACATGACCACTTTGAAAACAGTGAGCATTTGCTTGGGTACTGCAATGTGATAGAAACAAATTCAAAATATTGTTTTATTAGGTGATTGATATTATATCTTGCTGTTTTTTGTTTCACTTTCTTTTCACATAATATAGCCAAGTTTGTTTTTGTTGTTGTTGTTGGTGGTGGTTTTTTTGTTTGTTTGTTTGTTTGTTTGTTTTTGAGACAGGGTCTCAACTCACTCTGTTGCCCAGGTAGAAGTGCAGTGGTGCAATCATGGCTCACTGCAGCCTTAACCTCCTAGACACAAATGATCCTCCCACCTCAGCCTCCTGAGTAGCTGAGTAGGTGGAACTACAGTCAACTTTCAACTAGCCCATGGTGATAGGGAGAGCAAGTTATCTAAAATTGTGTTAAAATAATTTTTTAAAAAGTCTTTAATACATGATTTTTCTGACTCATGGCTTTGAAAACAAATGAACATTTTTGGACAAAAATTCTGATTGTCTGAAATATGTTACTCCAAATTATTTTTTAAAAATAGACTTTTAGAGTTGTTTTTGATTAATTTTAAAATTGAAAAGAAGGTATAGAAGTTTCCCATATAACCCTTCTCCCAACATACTGACCTACTATTACTCGACTAATAACATCCCACACCAGAGTGGTACATTCATTAAAATCTACGAACCTATACTGACACATATTTATCACGCAATGTCCATATTTTACATGAGGTTCCATTTGTGGTGTTGTACATTCTATGGATTTTGACAAATATATAAGACATGTATTCATCATTATAATATCATAGAGAGTAGTTTCATTGCCCTAAAGAATACATTTGTACTTTGCTTATTCATCTGTCTTTCTCTCCTACCCCCTGGCAACCACAAATCCTTTTATTATATTCATAGTTTTGTCTGTTCCAGAATACCATGTAGTTGGAATTTAGAGTACACAGCCTTTTCAAGTTTGATTTTTCATTTAGTAATAAGCATTTAACGTTTCTCTATTTTTTTCTTGGTGTGATAGCTTTTTTTCTTTTCTTAGCCCTGAATAATAGTTCATTTTCTGGATATACCAATTTGTTCATCCATTTATCCAAACATTTACTGAAGGACTTCTGGGTTACTTCTGAGTTTTTGCAATTTGTTTTGTATTGTTTTGTTTTTCCCAACTTTATTAGAGTATAAGTGAAAAATTAAAATCGTATAAATTTGTGGTATACAATGTGATGTTCTGATTTATGTACACATTGGAAAATTAATAAATCAAACTAATTAACATATTCATCACAACATATACCTATGTTTTTGTGGTGAGAAAATTTAAAATCTACTCTTAGTTTGGAGTTATGGCATAGAAATGCTGCTGATTTTTATATGCTGATTTTCTATCTTGTAACTTTACTAAATAGTTTATTAGTTCTAACAATTTGGTGATGTCATTAGGGTTTTCTATATACAAGATCATGTCATCTACTCACAGAACATTTTACTTCTTCCTTTCCAATTTGGATGCCTTTTATTTCTTTTCTTGCCTAATTGCTCTGGCTAGAACTTGTAGTACTTTTTAAAATAGAAATGGTATGACTGAGCGTCCTTGTCTTGTTCCTGGCCTTAGAGGAAAAGCTTACAGCTTTTCTTTGTTGAGAATAATGATAACGTGGGTTTGTCAGATATGACCTTTATTCTGTTGAGGTACATTTCTATACCTAATTTGTTGAGAGTTTTTATCATGTAAGGATGTTGAATTTTTATCAATGCAACTTTTACATTTATTGAGATGATCAAATGATTTTATCCTTTATTGTGTTAATGTGGTGTATCACAATTATTGATATGCATATGTTAAGCCAAGCTTGCATACCAGGGATAAACCCACTTAATGATGGTGTATTATCCTTTTAATGTTAGATTTGGCTATCTAGTATTTTGTTGAGGACTTTTGCATCTATGTCTATCAGGGATATTGGTCTGTCATTATCTTTTCCTTGTAGAGTCTTTACCTGGTTTTGGTATCAGGGTAATGCTGGCCTTGTAAAGTGAATTTGCAAATGTTCCATTCTCTTCAATTTTTTGTAAGAATTTGAAAACTATTGACATTAATCTTCCCTTAAATGTTTGGTAGAATTTACCAGTGAAGCCACATGGTCCTGGGCTTTTCTTTGTTGGGAAGTTTTTGATTCCCAATTCAACACTCTTATTCATTACTTGTCTGTTCAGATTTCCTTATGATATAATCTTGATTGATTGTAAGTTTCTAGAAATTTATCCATTTCTTCTAAGTTATTCAATTTATTTCTGTGTAATTGTTCATAGTAGTCTGCTGTGATTCTTTGTATTTTTGTGGTATCAGACATAATGTCTCCTCATTTATTTATAGTTTTATTTATTTGAGTCTTCTCCATTTTTTTCTTAGTCTAGGTAAAGTATGCCAATTTTTATTTTCCAAAAAATTAACCCTTAGTTTTTTCTATATGGGACCAGCCTGGTACTTTAGCCTGCAGGTTTGAAACTGGTGCCTGGGGTGAATGTGGAGCTTGAGTCTGCTGGGTTGTACCTGGACACTGGGTCCACAGGAGCTGGCCTGACACTGGATTGGGTCAGGAGGCTTGGTCTACAGGTGGCAAGCTGGACACAGGCTACGAGGGAAAGTCTAACACTAGGGTGTGCCTGATGTCTGAGGCTACAGGTGCCAGCCTGATGGGGTGGACCTGAGTCCCAGTGAGGGTCAGTCTGGGACCTGCGACCAACATGTTGCAAAGTGGCCCTGAAGACTTGGGCTCCATCTGCTGAGCTGGTGGTGGAACCAGCCTGGAGTCTGAACCTGAAAAGGTTAGCTTAGAGCCTAGGGCTGTGAGAGTCAGCTTGGTACCAGGTTTCACAGGGGTGGGCTTTGTGTTAGAGTCCACAAAAAAGTCAAGTTCTCACTTTACTCTCCTTCCCCCATGTGAAGGATATCTCCTTCTACACTTTGCTGCCTGGGCTTGGAGAAGAAGTGATGTGGGTAATATGAAACTGCCCTTCCAACTACCTTCAGTGTATCTTTTCTTATTTCTGTGGTACATCTGAGTACTATAATCTCTCACTTGGATATATTAGATCTTGTGAAGGTATTTTGTGCACGGTTAGTTGATTAAATTGATGTTTCTGTGACAAGATGAGCACTGGAAAATCCTATTTCACCATCTGGCTGATGTTACTTCAGGAGATAATTTCAGTTTTGACAATTATGAATAAAGCTGCTATAAAGACTCATGTGGAGATTTTGTATTTTTACTTTTGTGTGTGTGTGTGTGTGTGTGTGTGTGTGTGTGTACAAGTTTTCAACTCATTTGGCTTAATACCAAAGATACTGGATCAGATGGTAAGAGTATGCGCTTAGTTTTGTAAGATACTGCCAAACTGACTTCCAAAGTGGCTGACCATTTTGCATTCCCACTAGCAATGAATGAAAACTCCTATTGCTTGACATTCTCACCAGCATCTAGTGGTATCAGTATTGCAGATTTTGGCCTTTCTAATAGGTGTGTAGTGGTATGTCATTGCTCATTAGATTTGCATTTCCCTAATTACATATGGCAGAGCATTTTTTCATGTGCTTATTTGCCATCTGTATATCTTTTTTGTTGTTGTTTAGGTGTCTATTCATGGATTTGGCATCTTTCTACATTTGGTTGTTCATTTTCTTGTTGTTGAGTCTGAAGATTTTCTTTGTATATTTGAATAACAGTAATTTATTGGAAATATATCGTACAAATACTTTCTTCCATTCTTTGGCTTGTCTTTTCATCCTTTTCCTTGTGTTTTGCACAGAGTGGAGGTTTAAATTTTAATTTGGTTAAGCTTACCATTTTTTTCTTCATGGATTGTGTCTCTGTCATTGTGCCCAAAAAGTCATTGCCATACCCATGTTTTCTTCTGTATTATCCTTTAAATGTTATATAGTTTTTCATTTTACTTTTAGGTTTATGGTCCATTTCGAGCTAATTTTTGTGAACAGGGAGGTCTATATCTAAATTTACTTTTTTTTGAATAGTGATGTCCAGTTGCTTTCCTAGCATTTACTGAGGAGACTATCTTTGCTCTAGAGTATTGCCTTTGCTCTTTCACCAAATATTGATTGACTATAATTATGTGGGTCTATTTCTGGTTCTCTATTGCATTCCATTGATCAATTTTTCTATTATTTTGCCAATACCCCACTGTCTTAATTGCAGAAACTTCATAGTAAATGTTGAAGTTTGATAGCGTTCGTCCTCAGACTTTGTTCGTTTCAATATTGTGTTGACATTTCTGGGACTTTTAACTTTCCCTATACACTTTAGAATGAATTTTTGAAGATCCACAAAATAACATTCTGCAATTTTGATAAGGATTGCTTTCATTCTGTAGATCAAGTTGAAAAGAGCTGACATCTTGACAATACTGAGTTTTTCCATCCATGAACATGTAATATCTCTCCATTAATTTTGTTCGTTCTTTTATTTCTTTCATCAGACTTTTTATGCACTTTTTTTTTTTTTTACAGACCATGTATATGTTTTGTTAGATTTATACCTGACCATTTCATTTGGGAGGATGCTACTATAAATGTTATTGTGTTTTAAAGTTCAGATTCCATTTGTTCATTGCTTTAACATAGAAAAGTAGTTGACTTTTGTGTGCTATATTGTCTCCCACTGTTAGAGTAGGAAGACAGCCAGACATAAGCAGAAGTGGGGAGCCCTTGAGAAAAGGGAGGTCTGGAAAATCTTACACCCTAGGGACCACCCAAAACCTCCATGCTGGATATAAGCAAAGAGGAGAGGAAAGACCTATGCAGGAAGAAATGAGTTCTTCCCTATGTGTTCCTTCCTGCATAGGTATTTCCCCTCCTTTCTACTCATATTTAGCATGCAGGTTTTTGGTGGTTACTCTGCAGTTATAACTCTGCAGGTAACCTGCCAGAATGCAGCTAGCTACATGCCTAAGTAGGGGCAAAGGGCAAAGAAGAAATTCCTAAGAGATAACACAGGCACAATTTATATCCAACACTGGGTCTGTACATAGGCACCAACTAATAGTAAGGAAGGGTCTCACTAGGCCTAGGTGGGAACTAGGCGGGTAAAAGGAGGGGACTTAGGGCAGAAGTAAGAAAACTAAACAAATAAAAAAAGTAGAGACTTAAGACAGCTGCAGAAACTTCGGGAAAAGTCCAACATCATAAAAACCCAGTGCAGAACTGTCAGGCTGCTACTGGCTCACTCCCTTCAGCAGCCCTCTTTGCTTCATCTTTTCAGAGTGTACTGTCTCTTTAAATAAGTTCTGTGTTCTCTATTTTCTTTCAATAAATCATCTTTTTGGCTAAATCAGTCACTTGGCCGGATACTTCTCCAAGTAAGCCTAAAAACCAGGGATTCTTGCAGATTTTGGTAACACCACAACATTTCAAGAATTAAGTATTAGTTTCAGGAGGTTTTTGTTAATTCATAGCATCTGTAAAAAAACACACTTCTTTCTTTTCCTTCAGTATTATGTGTATTTCTTAATTTTAGTATGCCTTTTATATACTTTTCATGTCTCATTTAATTATCTATGACTTTCGGTATCATGATGAAAAGAAGTGGTGACAGGAGACATTTTAGACTCATTTTTTGATCTTAAAGGGAAGACTCCTTCTTTATCACATATACAACGTTAGTTGTAGGGATTCATTTAGGTGTTATCATGTAGAAGAGGTTCCCGTCTATTCTTAGTTTGCTGAGAGTTTTTATCATAAATGCATTTAGAATTGTCAAATGCTTTATCTGTATATATTATTATAATCATGGTTTTTTTAGTGTGTTGATGTAATGGATTACATTAATTAATTGTTGAATGTTGAACCAGCTTTCCATACGTAAAATAAACCTTGTTTCATCATAGTGTATATTTTTTATATATTCTTAGATTCAATATTTTAATATTTTCTTGAGAATTTTTGCACATAAGATTATAAAAGGTATTGGTCTGTAGCTTTCTTGTAATGCCTTTTACTTGTTTTGGTAGGAGGATAATGTTCACTTCACAGAGTAATTAGAATTTGGACTCTACACTTCTATTTTCTGGAAGAGATTGCAGAAAATTGTTTATAGTGCTGTTCTTAAATGTTTGGTAGAATTCATCAGTGAACATCTTTGGGACTGGTGCTTTTTGTTTTGGAGGATTAATAGCTATTGATTTAATTTCTTTAATATACATGGGCCTATTCAAATTGTCTATTTCCCCCTCAGGTGAGTTTTGGAAGATTGTGTCTTTCAATGAATTTGTCAATTTTATCTAGGTTATCAAATTTGTGGATATAGAGTTGCTCACACTATTTTTATTATTTTAATATTCCATGGTATCTGTAGTGATGTCCTCTATTTTATTTTTGATGTTAATAACGTGTGTCTTCTTTTTTGTTAGTTATCCTGTCTAGAGGCTTATCCAATTTTTTTTTAAAAATCAAGTTATTGGTTTTATTAGAAAATTAGTTATTAGTTTTGTTTATTTTCTCTTTTGATTTCCCATTTTAAATTTTATCGATATCTCTTCTAATTTTTAATGTTTCATTTATTCTGCTTACTTTGGATTTAATTTGCTCTTATTGTTCTAGTTTCCTAAGGTGGAAGCTTAGATGATTGGTTTTAGATATTTTAAGTTTTCAAACATATGGATTCAGTGTTATACATTTCTCTCTACTCCCTGCTTTTCTGTAACCTGCAAATATTGATAGCGTGCATTTTTATTTTTATTTAGTTGAAAATATTTTTAAATCCCTCTTGAGAGTTCTTCTTTCACCCATGTGTTATTTAGAAGAGTGTTATTTAGTATCTAGCTAGTTTGGAATTTCCTTGCTATCTGTTTTCTGTTTTCTATTAATTTCTCATTTAATTCCGTTATTTTCTCAGAGCAGATATTGTCAGATTTCCTTTTTTTTTCTTTCTTTCTTCTTTTTTCTTTCTTTCTTTTCTTTTTTCTTTCTTTTTTTTTTTTTTTTTTTTTTGAGACAGGGTCTCGCTCTGTCACCCAGGCTGGAGTGCAATGGCATAATCTTGGCTCACTGCAACCTCCCCTTCCGGAGTTCAAGCGATTTTCCTGCCTCAGCCTCCCGAGTAGCTGGGATTACAGGCATGTTCCACCATGCCTGGCTAATTTTTGTATCTTTTTTAGTAGAGACGGGGCTTCACCATGTTGTCCAGGCTGGTCTCGAACTCCTGACCTCGTGATCTACCTGCCTCGGCCTCCCAAAGTGCTAGGATTACAGGCATGAGCCACCGCACCCGGCTAAGATTTCTATTGTTCTTAATTTTTAAGAGGTGTTTTATGGCCTAAAACGTGGTGAATGTACCATGAGAACTTGAGAAGAATATGTAAGACCACGCATGGCTGTAATCCCAGCACTTGGGAGGCCAAGGTGAGAGGATTCTTTGAGCTCAGGAGTTCAAGGCCAGCCTGGGCAATATAATGAATCCTTGTCTCCATAAAAAATACAAAAATTAGCCAGGAATGGTGGCATGCACCTGTAATCCCAGCTACTCAGGAGGCTGAGGTGGGAGGATTGCTTGACTCCAGGAGACTGCAGTGATCTGTGATAATACCATTATACTCCAGCCTGGGTAAGAGTGAGACTCTATCATCTCAAAAAAAAAAAAAAAAAATAAAAAATAAATAAATAAAAAGAGAAGAATATGTATTCTTTTGTTGTTGGATATAGTCAACAGATGTCAATTACACCTAGTTGACTGATGGTACTACTGAGTTCAATTATGTCCTTACTGTTTTTCTACACACTTGATCTGCCTTTTTGTAATATAAGGATATTCAAGTATCCAGCTATGATTGTGGTTTCTTCTATATCTCCTTGGAGTTCTATCAGGTTTTGCCTCATGTATTATGACACTATGGGGTTAGGTATCTGATCATCATTGTTTCGAATATTTCTTCTGTTCATTTTTCTTTTCCTTTTCCTTCTGCAATTCACAGTACATCAATGTTACATCTTTTGTATAATTTTCCACAGTTTATTCTGTTTGTATTTTTCTTTTTGATCTTTGCTTTACAGTTTTTGGCATTTCTCTTGGCATATCCTAAAGCTCAAAGATTGGCATATACTCACCCAAGTTGTCTATTAATGAGCCCATAGAAGGCATTATCTCTTTCTGCTCCAGTGCTTTTGATCTCTCACTTTTTAAAATTTTTCTTGGAATTTTCATCTTTCTGTTTATGTTTTCCACTGTTCTTACATGCTAATTTATCCATTAAATCCTTTATCATGTTAATCAAAGTGTTTAATTTCCCATTCTGATCATTTCAGTATCTGATTCTGGTTCTGGTGTTGGCTTTGTCTCTTCAAACTGTGTTTTCTACCCTCTAGTATGTCTTGGATTTTTTTTTTTCTTATGAGCCACACATAATTTACCATGTAGAGAAAACTGCAGCAAGTAGGCCGTTGGTAATGTGATGGTAACGTATGAGGCAAAAGGAAGCACTGTGTAGCCCTGTGATTCTGTTTCATTCTTTTAATGAGCCCATGCCTCTTGACTATAAACTTCACAAGTGTTTATTAGTTCCCCAACCTTTCCTGGGACAGGATAGCTGGGGCAGACTGAAGTTGGATATTTTCCTTTCCCTAAATTGGCTTGCTTCTGAAAAAAAAAATTAAAAATAAATGAATAAATAAATAACTTGGGCTTTGCTAAAATTGTTTCTTTTGAGAGCAGGCCGGGTTAAGGAGAACAGACTATTCTGGCATATTTTCAAATGATTACTTTATCCCAATACCTGCTAGAAGCATAAGGCGATTATTCTCTATTATTCCCTGTGACAACCTGGTTGAAATCCTGAGGAAAAAACTCTCTAAAGTCTGAACCCTGCCCCCCATGACTAGGTCCCTGTGAAAATTTTAACTCTCAGGCTTGTCCACACTAACCCTTCACCAATTCTTCAATTATAGTTTAGCTTTTCCTACCCTGGCATTGGTTCTTGCAGAGGTTTCTGCTGTTTGGTTTTTGCTCTGATAAATTGTAATTTTCTATATATAAATCATTTGTCTATCCCTCCAGTTTTTTAGGCAGCATGTTGCCCTGTGACCTCACTTCTTTGACAGACACAAAAAGAGTTGCTGCTATTTCAGTTTGTTTATCTTTTTACTTGTTAGGTCAGAGTGACAACTTCTAAGCTCCTTCTAATCAAAGTCTAAGAATATAGCATTTTGTAAGTTTCAAGTGTTTTATGTTCAGGCTTCTGTGATTTAGAAAAGCTATGAAGTAAAGTTTAATATCTTAATATATAGAAGACTAATGAGCAGAGTTTTAGCTGAAAATATGAAGAAGCATATATTAGGGTATTCCAAGGTACTCTGAAAATATTAAGATAAGCTTCAGATAAGACAACTCTAGTCCAAAATAAATAGCAATTTGTAATAGAAAGGATGAGAACTCATTTAAATAAGCAAGTAAGCAAACAGACACAGAATGTGAGCAAATGGCTAATTATACTTCCATGCCAAGCATGATTTAGGGAGCTAAATTTCCCTTAGGCAAATTGTTATCTGCTGATTCTCTCATTGCTAGACTCATCTGGCATCCAGAGACTACAAATGTTTTTCAAAGTTACTTGATACCAGAAAAAAAAAAGTTTTGGAAAGTGTGAAATTATTTTTAATTAGAGTCATCTAAAACTATTCACTTGAAATGTAAATAGTGTCTAACGCCAGATCAACACAGTAGAAACCTTTGGCTGATCTAAGAGTTAAAGCCTTGAAATTATCTTAATCTGCATTTCACCTTTATTTCACACTAAATATTTATTGTTTAAAAAATACCAGAAAATAATATAAAACATATTCTTACAGATTTGTATTTATGTATTCTATATTTATCCAAATTCTCTTTTTATGTGATCCTAAAAGAATTACATACTGTTAACACATCTGCAAAACAGTCTGCTATTTTTTTTTTTTTTTGGGCTGGAGTCTCGCTCTGTCACTGAAGCTGGAGTGCAATGGAACGTCTTGGCTAACTGCAGCCTCCTCCTCCCAGGTTCAAGCAATTCTCCCTGCCTCAAGTCTCTTGAGTAGCTGGGATTACAGGTGCCTGCCACCACGCCTGTCTAATTTTTGTATGTTTAGTAGAGACGGGGTTTCGCCATGTTGGCCAGGCTGGTCGTGAACTCCTCACCTCAGGTGATCCGCCCGCCTCGGCCTCCCAAAGTGTTGGGATTAGAGGCGTGAGCCACCGCGCCAGGCCAACAGTCTGCTTTTTAACTATGTTTACAAAACCTAAGGCTTTTTCTTTCTTCTTTAGACATTAAAATGCAGCAGTTATTCAGTTGTGTAATTTGTTTGATTTGGAATTCCAATAAAGACAAATTCACAAGAAGAAGTTAAAGAATGAATGGAGACAAAATTATGAAATAAACTGAAATAATAAAACATTTGCTGTTACCATATTTAGAGTGCTCTTAAAACAGGTTGAAAAGAACATGTAGTGGCTGTTCAGCCAGCTGATGCACTTTTTGCTGTATGAACATTTATACCACCAAAAAAGAAATCTTATGCTTACATAATGTTTTATAGTATATATTGACTTTCCACAAGTATTTTCTCTTCTCAATCCCTGCCCTCCTCCAATTAGGTAGGATAATAAAAATTACTTACACAGAGAACTAGAGAACTAAAAAATAATAAATCTCCTCATATTGATAAATTTCCAAAGAGAAAGTGTAGAATGTCTACTAAAACTAGATTTTTTCAATATTATTGTGGTTTTTCATCTATTATACTGCTATTATATTTGTCCAGAGAACTTCCCTGTTTTTCTAGGTAGGGATAGCATCTTCTCTGATGTGTTACCATACAAACTTTATTGTAATTTTTTATTTTTTTTTTACCATTCTGCCTATTCATGTGTCTGTTTCCCCTACTAGACTAAACCTTTTCCTCTTTAGTCTCTGTGTGAAGTGCCATCACTGATACGCTATTAGAAGTACTGAATATTTATGTATTTATTCATGCATTTATTCAACAAATGTTCGTTACATGCCCCATGTGTCAAACATTCTACTAGACACTGGGAAAAAGGGTTAAGACTACAGCAACAAATAATGCTTAACGTTTATATAGTTCTTACATTGTGTTGGGCAAAGCATTTAATATATTTAATATATTTATTAAATTTTCACAACTCTTTGAGGATGATCTTTGTTTCTCACATAAGGAATTGAGACACTGAGAGTTTAAATAACTTGTCCAAGTTTCCATATCTAACAAGTGGTATAACTAGGATACAAACTAGGTAGGCTGGCACCAGATCCCAGGCTCTTTCCATTAGGTTCTATCAGGATGTACTTTGATTTTATAGATGTTGCAGTCTACTGGGTAGACAAATATTAAAGTAAATAAATGGGTATATTTCTGATGTTTAGGATGTAATAACTAACCTTAAGTGAATGTGCATGATATGAGAAGAGATACATACTCTAGAGTGGAGAATTAAGAAAAATCTTAATGGATAGACAGAAAAAAATCAAAGTATCATATTTAAAATAGTGTTGATAGAGGTATTTTTATATTCCTTTTAGAAATAAAACCTAAACTGTTATTTAGCAATATGTTTCAATTTTTTTCAAATACAAAAGTGTTTAGAAACTTTTTTTTAAGATTAAATAATCTGATAAATTTGCTTCAACTTGATTCAGTTTACAACTGAAGAAATAAATAGTAGTTGATCTTGATTGACTTATTTTCCTCATTAGACCATTTCATCTTCAACATAATAATAATGAAAAAGGCAGAAAAAAAATGCAGGTAAATGCTCCAATTACCCAGATACAGTGTTTCCTTATCTGTGTAGCAACTTTAAGTAAAATGTTACCCTATTATAATAAAAATGATCAGCAGTGAATTAATTAAGCTGTATTTAAGTGAAATGTTATGTTAAAATTACAACTTGTCTGGGATTCTGCATGACAGTTGTTCTTGCTGAAATAATTTTTATTATTTTTATGCTACCAAATCAAGAGTAGGATACAAAAGTGAATATAATAATTAAAGATCAAGAATACATCTTTTGCAAGACTTTTAAATGGGGAACATTGGGATGTCACATACTTAGAAACCTGCTTAAAATCTATACTGTATAAATACAAATTCAAATTTGGTTATTTAAATCAACATGTTTAAAATTCAAATTCAGGTTATTGTGATGCTTTTTTGAACATTCTTTTCCTAACGACTTAATTGTATTTTTTATGATTGTATGTAATACACACATGTGAAATATCATGAAGACAATTTTCAAAAATAAATATTTGTTGATGTGACAAATTGCCTACAAATATATTTTTCTAAATTATTCATAGGGAAACCAAGCACTTTAAATCTTATCTCATCAAGTTTAATTTTATTTACTTGTAAATCTCCCAAAGTGCTGGGATTACAGGTGTGAGCCACCGTGCCTGCCCCACATATTCTTTTTGTTTTCGTGCATAGATATTTAGACCATCTAAAAACAATGACAGTTTTTGTCTTACTTTTGAAAATGTGAGGCTGTCCTGGTGAGGGATGGAAAAATAACAACAACAACAAAAAATTAGGCTTTGGGAGGCCGAGACAGGCAGATCATGAGGTCAGGAGATCGAGACCATCCTGGCTAACACGGTGAAACCCCGTCTCTACTAAAAATACAAAAACAAATTAGCCGAGCATAGTGGTGGGCACCTGTAGTCCCAGCTACTCGGGAGGCTGAGGCAGGAGAGTAGCATGAACTTGGGAGGTGGAGCTTGCAGTGAGCCGAGATTGCGCCACTACTGCACTGCAGCCTGGGTGACAGAGCAAGACTCCGTCTCAAAAAAAAAAAAAAAAAAAAAATTAGGCCGTTTTTCTTCTTTGTCTTGTCTCACTAAACTGCTTAGGATATCCAGGTTAATGTTGAATGTGTATTGGGGTAGTAAATATTTCTGTCTTATTCCTTAAATATACTACATAAAAATTATGTTAAATGTTTTGGTGGCATATTAATAAAAGTGATATATTAATAAAAGATTGCCTATTTTCTAATTATTTATATTTTTTAATTAATGTGTTTACACAAACATTTTAGGAAGTCTTACAAACAAACATTATATATGTAAAATAACTTGTTAGTGTTATGATTTACATTAAAACTTTTTCTAGAATGAAAACATTCATAAATTCTCTGAATTAAGTTAACAAATATCTTATTTAGAAATTTTTAGTTTATGTCCGTAAGTAGATTTCATCTTATGTTTTCAAGATCTAAGTTTCTTGTTTCTGGTTTTGGTATCAAGGTTATACTGGCATCAAAGCTGATTTGTGTGGTATCTTTTTATTTTCTGATATAATTTAAATAATATTAGGTTTTTTCCTCTTATATAGTTTGGTAAAGCTTTCTTCTTAAAATGTTCAAGCTATATAGTTTGTTTTATAGAGAGAGAAAGGGAGAGGAAGTTGATTTTGACTTGTTTATTTATTTAGTTGAGACACAGTCTGACTCTCACCCAGACTGCAGTACAGTGGTACACTTGTGACTCATTGCAGTCCTGACCTCCCTAGTTCAAGTGGTCCTCCCAACTCAGCCTTTAGAGTAGCTGGGACTACAAGTGCGTGCCACCATGCCTGACTTTTTTTGTATTGTTTGTAGAGATGTGTTTTTGCCATGTTGCCCAGGCTGGCCTCGGACTCTTGGGCTCAAACTATCCACCAGTCTCGGCCGCCGAAGTGTTGGGATTACAGGTGTGAGCCGCCACCCCCAGCCTATTTAATGTATTATTTGTTAAATATTTATACTTTTTCACTCTTTCTGAGAAAGTCTGGATATGCTTCATTCATTTTAGAAACTTATCCACTTTATTTACCAACATGTGGGCTATGCATAGTAGTGTGTCTATTTCTAAAACATTTAACCTCACAGAATTATTGGCTTCTCATATTTTTAATGTTTTAATGCATTTTAACAAAGGTTTCTTTTTTAATTTCTTATTTTGTTAGTCTGTTCAAAGCATCAGCTTCGGGTCTTTTTTCGTCTCCTTATTGTTTATTTTATTTTTCTTTATTTTTTCTCTTAACATTATGATATACTTCTATTTTCCTTGAGTTTTGCTGTTGTTCTCTTTCTACCTTCTGTAGTTGGATGCATAATTCATTTCTTATTTGCTGTTGTTCTCTTTCTACCTTCTGTAGTTGGATGCATAATTCATTTCTTATTTGCTAGTAGAAATATGAATCTCTAAATTTTGCCTTGGCATATTTTTAGTGACAATACACATGTGTTTATGTGCATTAATTTCTTTATTTAATTTAAAATATTTTAATAATTTTATTATGTTTGACTCATGAGTAATTTGCAAGTATGGTCTTAAATTTCTGTTTTCAAGGGCTTTTAAAGTTATATGTCTTGTAGTATTTTCTCCAAATAACACTAGTCAGAGAACAAACTGTGTGTGTCATACAAACTGAATTACAAGACTCATATGTGGCTTAAATGTATTATAAATTCCCAGTCGAAAATTTGTTCTTCTCATATTCAGAATCAGAGAGGAGATTCTTTGTTCCCTTCATGTGGCTAATGGTTGATTTTTTTTCCTCCATGGTTCACTCTTTTCACTCTTTACTGGAAATATAATACTTTATGAGATTCAACATTGTACAATGGAACGTGTGTTGATTCTCCACTTCATATGGGTACAAAACCTTATCTCCCATCCCACTGCTGAAATTGTAACAGGAGGTCTTAGATTTTTGATATTCCCCTTCCCCATATTCCCATTATCCAAGGTGTCAAGTCACTAGCTTATTTGGTTTTCAGGTCCCTTATTTTTTTCTGGTCACTAAGAATTTCCTTTATTTCTCATAAGCTCAGCTATGCATTTAATTTTAGAAAATACCTCACTATTTTTGAGAGAGTGGATGCTATGTAGGCCACCAAATTATGAGAATTTCTTCTTCTTAAAAATGTTTCTTGGAGATTTTTCCATATTAGCATAGATATGAGGCCTTATGTAGTCTGATGATGATACATCACTCTGTCCTATCCCTATACCATTACTTTGTCAAAGCCCACCTGGTGAGCATGTGCCTGTCTGTATTTTTGTGACTAGTGCGATAACATTTATTCTTAGATGTAAATTTGGTTTGTCAAGGAAAGGACCTCATAAAATTTGACAGATATATTCACATCTTCCACTATAAGAGTGCATCAACAGTAGATGAATACTCTGGTATTTTTCCAGTAAACTCTTTATTCTTTGTCAATCTTTTTAGTAAAGTATAGACTTCCATAGTTACCCCAAAGTTGATTTTTTGAATTGTTAATGACATTAAATATTGATACATGCCAATTGGTCATTTATGTCTTTGTTCAAGTTTCTATTTTTTTCTTATTGAATAATGAAAGCTGTTTTTTTTAGCAAAAATGCAGGAAACACACTTTATTCTGTTTGTATTAGTTGTTGTGATTTCTTTATGACTATACATGTGAAAAATGATTTAATTGTAAGCATTAAATTGATCAGCACTGTTTCTTGATTGTTCCTGTTACATGTCAAGTGGTTATTAGTCAGCATAGGCCAGGTGATAATAAAGTGCTAAGCTCCGAATTTCATTGGGTCAAACGACAAAGTGTCGTTTATTACTTAATACACATGTCAATTCTAAATCCCAGGCAGAACGAGCTTCCACCATTTACAATATCACCAACCGTAGTGGTAAAAGGAGAGTTTTGCCTTTATAATTGTTTCTATTCACATATGCTTGTTGAAATAATTTTTGTGGTCTCACCTAAATTCAAGAGATTAAGGAAGTGCAACCAAACTGTGTAAACAGAAGACTATATTCAGATATTAGTGAACATTGATAATATGTACCTTGTATTCCTAGAAAGGAATTTCCTCATAGATTATTCTAAAGTTCACTTGTGTGTTCGTGTAACATTATCAAAAGATGCCAAATGTCTCATTAAAACATTTTCTTAAACTGGCATTTATTTCAATCTGAATGATGAAATAGAAGTCCTTCTTTGTTACAAAAATAATTTATGTTCTGACACTATTTATTGACTAACATCTTTCACCACTGACTTAAAAGGCCCTTTTATGAAACAAAATTTTAGCTTCCACTTGTATCTATTCTAACACATTAACTATTTATGTTTCATTAAATATTAAATAGTTTTCATGAAGCTTTTACAATATTCAAAAATATTATAATATTCAATAACACAATCTGTTTCTCCAAAAATTAAACAGACACTTATACAATTCAGCAATTCCACTTGTGCATATACAACCAAAGGAATTTAAATCAAGTATGTAAACAAATCTTAATAAACTAATGTTCACAACAATGATACTCACGATAGCCAAAAAGGTGGAAACAATGGAAATGTCCATTGAAAGATGAATGGATGAACAAAATGTGGTATGAAATAATGTCTTAAAAAATAAAGGAAATTCTGAGACATGCTTCAACTTGGGTAAACACTGAAAACATATTATGCTAAATGAAATAAGCTAATAACAAAAGGACAAATACTGTATGATTCTAATTATTTGAGGTACCCAGATTAGTCAAATTTCTAAAGATAGAAAGTTGAATGATGTTTGCAAAATGATCAGGGATGGGACATATGTGGAGTCATTATTTATGGGTAGAGAGTTTCAGTTTGGAAAAAGGAAAGAGTTCTGGAAATGGATGGTGGTATTGACAGCACAACAATTTGAATGCACTTAACAACACTGAACAATATACTTGAAAATGATTAAAAAAAAATTTTATGTTATGTATAATTTACTACACAAGTCAATCTTGCTCATTTCTTTTTTATCAAGTTTTTTTCAAATTTTTTATTCTATAGTCTTTAGGGAAATAGGTGGCATTTGGTTACATGAGTAAGTTCTTTAGTGGTGATTTGTGAGATTTTGGTGCACCTATCACCCGAGCAGTATACACTGAACCCAATTTGTAGTCTTTTATCTCTCATCCCCTTCCCACCCTTTCCGCTCAGTCCCCAAAGTTCATTGTATCATTCTTATGCCTTTGAATTCTCATAACTTAGCTCCCACTTATGAGTGAGAACATATGATGTTTGGTTTCCCATTCCTGAGTTACTTCACCTGGAATAATAGTCTCCAGTTCCATCTAGGTTGCTGCGAATGCCATTAATTTGTTCCTTTTATGGCTGAGTAGTAATTTCTTTAACCACTGGTTGATGGATGGGCATTTGGGCTGGTTCCATATTTTCGCAACTGCAAATTGTGCTTCTATAAACATGCATGTCTAAGTATCTTTTTCGTATAATGACCGTTTCTTCTGGGTAGATACCCAGTAGTTTGATTGCTGAATCAAATGGTAGGTC
Organism: Homo sapiens; assembly: GCF_000001405.40. Classification (NCBI taxonomy): domain Eukaryota; kingdom Metazoa; phylum Chordata; class Mammalia; order Primates; family Hominidae; genus Homo; species Homo sapiens. The sequence continues at coordinate 3,395,521 of NC_000024.10, forward strand.
TACTGTTAGTTCTTTAAGGAATCTCCTCACTGTTTTTCATAGTGGTTGTACTAGTTTACATTCTGACCAGCATTGTAGAAGAGTTCCCTTTCCACCACATCCACACCAACATCTATTATTTTTTTATTATGGCCATACTTGCAGGAGTAAGGTGGAATTGCATTGTGGTTTTGATTTGCATTTCCCTAATTATTAGTGATGTTGAGCATTTTTTCATATGTTTGTTGGCCATTTGTATATCTTTTTTTGAGAATTGTCTATTTTCACTTTTTGATGGGATTGCTTGTTTATTCTTATTAATTTGTTTGAATTCCTTGTAGATTCTGGATATTAGTCCTTTGTCAGATGTATAGATTGTGAAGATTTTCTTCCACTCTGTGGGTTGTGTGTTTACTCTGCTGAATGTTCCTTTTGCTGTGCAGAAGCTCTTTAGTTTAATTAAGTTTCACCTATTTATCTTTGTTGCTGTTGCATTTGCTTTTGGTTTCTTGTTCATGAAGTCTTTGCCTAAGCCAATGTCTAGAAGGGTTTTTCTGATGTTATCTTCTAGAATTGTTATGGTTTCAGGTCTTACATTTAAGTCCTTGATCTAGCTTGAGTTGATTTTTGTATAAGATGAGAGATGAGGATCCAGTTTCATTCTCCTAAATGTGGCTTGCCAATGATCCCAGCATCGTTTGTTGAATAGGGTGTCCTTTCCCCACTTTATGTTTTGGTTTGCTTTGTCAAAGATCAGTTGGCTGTAAGCATTTAGCTTTATTTCTGGGTTTCTATTCTGTTCCATTGGTTTATGTGTCTATTTTCATGCCAGTACCATGCTGTTTTGGTGACTATAGGCTTGTAGTATAGTTTCAAGTCAGGTAATGTGATGCCTTCAGATTTGTTCCTTTTGCTTAGTTTTGGCTATGTGGGTTCTTTTTTCATTCCATATGAATTTTGGAATTGTTTTTGCTAGTTCTGTGAAGAATGATGGTTGTATTTTGATGGAAATTGCATTGAATTTGTAGATTACATTTGGCAGTATGGTCATTTTGACAATATTGATTCTATCCATCTGTGAGCCTGGGTGTATTTCCATTTGTTTGTGTCTAGTATGATTTCTTTCAGCAGTGTTTTGTAGTTTTCCTTATAGAGGTCTTTCACCTCCTTGGTTAGGTATATTCTCAGGTATTTTATTTTATTTTATTTTATTTTTTGCAGCTATTGTAAAAGAGATTGTGTTCTTGATTTGATTCTCAGCTTGGTTGCTGTTGATGTGTAGCAGATCTACTGATTTGTGTACATAAATCTTTATTCTGAAACTTTGCTGAATTCATTTAACAGTTCTAGAATCTTTGTGGAGGGGCTTCTTTTGTGTTTTCTAAGGTATATGATCATATCATCAGTACACAGTGACTGTTTGACTTCCTCTTTAGTGGTTTGGATGCTCTTTATTATTTTCTCTTGTCTGATAGCTCTGGCTAGTATTTCCAGTACTATGTTGACTAGAAGTGGTGAGAGTGGACATCCTTGTCTTGTTCCATTCCTCAGAGGTAATGCTTTCAAATTTTCTCTGTTCAGTATTATGTTGGTTGTGGGTTCGTCATAAATGGCTTTCATTACTTTAAGGTATGTCCCTTGTATGCTGATTTTGCTGAGGGTTTTAATCTTAAAGGGATGCTGGATTCTATCAAATGCTTTCTCTTTGTCTCTTTAGTTGATTGTGTGATTTTTTTAAAAGAAATTTTGTTTATATGATGTATCACATTTATTGACTTGCATATGTTAAACCATGTCTCCATCACTGGTATGAAATTCACTTGATCATGGTGTATTATCTTTTTAAAATGCTGTTGGATTTGGTTAGCTAGCATTTTGTTGAGGATTTTTGCATATATGTTCATCAGATATTTTGGTCTGTATTTTTCTCTTTTCATTTTGTGTTTTCCTGCTGTTGGTATTAGGGAGACCCTGGCTTCATAGAATGATTTCCACTTTCTCTATTTTGTGGAATAGCATCAATAGGATTGGTACCAATTCTTCTTTGAATGTCTGGTAGAACTCAGCTGTGTATCCATCTGGTCCTGGACTATGTTTTGTTGGCAATTTTTGTATTACCATGTCAATCTCACTGCTTGTTATTGTCTGTTCAGGGTTCCTAATTCTTCCCGATTTAAGCTAGGAGGATTGTGTATTTCCAGGAGTTTATCCATCTCCTCTAGGTTTTCTAGTTTATGCATGTAAAGGTTTTCATAGTAGCCTTGAATAATCTTTTGTATTTTTGTGCTGTTGGTTGTAATATCTCCCATTTTGTTTCTAATTGAGCTTATTTGGATATTCTCTCTTCTTGGTTAATCTTGCTAATGATCTATCAATTTTATATATCCTTTCAAAAAAACAGCTTTTTGTTTCATTTATCTTTTGTATTTTTGTTCCAATTTTATTTAGTTCTGCTCCAATCTTGGTTATTTCTTTTTTTTTCTGCTGGGTTTGGTTTGTTCTTTTTTCTGCAGTTCCTTGTGGTGTGACCTTAGATTGTCCATTTGCGCTCTTCCAGACTTTTTGATGTAGGCAATTTAAGGCTATGAACTTTCCTCTTATCACTGCCATTGCTGTATCCCAGAGTTTTTGATAGGTTTTGTCACTATTATCATTCAGTTCAAAGAATTTTTCAATTTCCATCTTGATTTCCTTGTTGACGCAATGATCCTTATCAGCAGGTTATTTAATTTTCATGTATTTGCATGATTTTGAAGGTTCCTTTTGGAGTTGATTTCCAATTTTATTCCACTGTGGTCTGAGATAAATAAAGAAATACTGATTTATGTATATACTTATTAATAAATATGTACCAGTAAATATATATTTACTTTATTTAACATATAACTATATATTAATTATATGTATTTATTTATTAAATATATTTAATATATTATTTACATTTACCTGGTGCTTTTGCCTCATGGCTCTTAATATTCTTTCCTTTGTCTTGACTTTAGATAACCTGATGACTATGTGCCTAGGTGATGATCTTTTTGTGATAAATTTCCCAGGTGTTCTTTGAGCTACATGTATTTGGATGTCTAGATCTCTAGCAAGGCTTGGGAAGTTTTATTGATTATTCCTTCAAATATGTTTTCCAAATTTTAGATTTCTCTTCTTCCTCCAGAACCTCAATTATTCTTATGTTTGGTCATTTAACAGAATCCCAAAATTACTGGAAGCTTTGTTAATTTTTTAAAAAAATTATCTTTGATTGGGTTCTTTTGAAAACCTTGTCTTTGAGCTCTGAAATTCTTTTGTCTGCTTATTTAATTCTATTGCTGAGACTTTCCAGTATATTCTGCATTTCTCTAAGTGTGCCCTTTATTTCCTGAAGTTTTTATTGTTTTTAATGTATGCTATCTATTTCACTGAAGATTTTTCCTCTCATATCTTACATCATTTTTTGGTTTCCTTAAGTTAGACTTCACCTTTCTCTGGTGCCTCTTTGATTAGCTTAATAATCAATCTTCTGAATTCTTTTACTGGCAATTCAGGGATTTCTTCTGGGTTTGGATCCATTGCTGGTGAGCTAGTGTGATTTTTTGGGGGCGTTAAAGGACCTTGTTTTGTCATATTAGCAGAATTTTTTTCTGGTTCCTTCTCATTTGGATAGGTTACGTCAGAGGGAAGATCTGGGGCTCAAGGCTACTGTTCAGAATTTTTTGTCCCACAATGTGCTCCCTTGATGTAGTGCTCTCCCGCTTTTACTAGGGATGTGGCTTCCTGAGAGCTGAACTGTAACAATTGTTTTTTTCTTTTCTGGATCTAGCCAGCCAGCAGGGCTACCAGGCTCTGGGCTGGTACTGTGAGATGTCTTCACAGAGTACTGTGATGTGAACCATCTTCAGGTTTCTCAGCCATGGGTACCAGTCTGGCACCTTGTCTGTTTTCTTTAAGGAATCCCAGGCTGTTAGAAACTATTTTATATCCCTCATGAAGCAGAGGGTGACAAGAGATAGGAGAGACAAGCAGAAGTAAATTGAGAAAACAGAATTCAGTAAACTAAGAAGAGAAAAAAATTCTCAAAAAGAACAAAGTCCTGGAAAAAAAATATATAAAGGCCTCTTGTGCGTGTGTATCACATATGTGTGTGTATGCATGAATATATATACACATGCACACACACACATACACACACATAAAGATTCTATACATTTTACTTCAGAACCCTACCCAACACTGGTTTTTATGTTAGTAGAAAAGTAACAGCAGATTTAAAGCAGGAAGAAAAGAAAATAGGGAAATAGAGAATTTAGGAATTCTATAGTTTGAACATCGACTTTTAGGCTCTTTTTTCCTCATGTAAGTGTGCACAAAAATAGCATAATATGTCTGTTTTACACCAATACTTGCAAGTAGAGGTGCCGTCAAACAAATTGTTTTTCTGAAAGTGGGTCATTCTCTTTGTGTTTTCCTCATTCTTAGATTATTTGTTTCCCACTACTTATTTTAATGGAGACACTGGACTGTGGCCTAGGCTTTAGTGTAGTGTGTCAAAATGTGCTGATTGTGGATGGAACTCTATAGTGTGTCACCACTGAGTCATTTCTGCCCTTTTATGTGCCTCAGTTTCTCCCTCCAGAGGTCTAACACCTCCAGGAGGACACAAAGAATGGAATGACCACCTCCTATATATATCTCCTGGATTAGCCTTCTGAAACTAATTTTGTTAGGGGTTCCCTCTCGGGTTGCTACAGGTTACAAGGGATCAACCCCTCAAACACTCTCACTCAATGACTGGTCACCTAGGAGTGCCTTTCAGTTGAGAGGAGCAAAATGCCCTTTCTCTTCAGAACTGAGAAAACTCAGTCTCTCATTTATCTATGAATACAAGAGTTCAGTTTCTCATGCAAATGCATAAGCAAACCAAATTGAGATTAATTGGGGAGAAAAAACAATGGAGATGACCCTTTAGAACGCACTTCTGAACTAGCACCGGGGTGCCTGAAAGTGGAGTGTTCTCGTTGTTTTTAGAAAAAGGCAATGGAGAAGGCCATTTAGAATACACCTCCAAACTAGTATTAGGAATCTAAACAACAGCTTTCTAGGAATAAATAAATACATAACAATAAATAAATAAACTGCTCAAAATAAGTCAAGGACCATCAACCAAAGGGAGGTCTGGGGCTCAGGAGGACTTACCAGTTCTACCAGAGAAGAAGCTCTAAGTCAAGGGAGGCTTTCAATGGGTTCCAGCTGGTACCTTAACTCCAGGTTCAGGCAACTTCATGGTCCTGAGTCTTTTCTGAGGCCCCACATGTTTGGGCACCACATTATTGTCAACAAAAAGAGTCAAAATCTGTAAAATATGTGAAAAGATTTATTCTGAGCTGAATATGAGTGGCCATGGCCTATGACACAGCCCTTAGGAGACCCTGAGAATATGTGCCCAAAGCGGCCACAGTGCAGCTTGGTTTTATACACTTAAGGAAAACATGAGACATCAATCAAATACATTCAAAATATACATTGGTTTGGTCTAGAAAGGCTCAACAACTCAAAGTGGGGGCTTCCAGGTTTATAGGGAAATTTAAAAATTTTCTGAGTGGCAATTGGTTGAAAGAGCTATTACCAATAGAAACGAACGTCTGGGTTATGACAAGAGGTGGTGGAGACCAAAGTTTTATTATGCAGATGGAGCCTCCAGGTAGCAGGCTTCAGAGAGCATAGATTGTAAATGTTTCTTATCAGACTTAAGGTGTGTGTTGATGTTAAATGCTCTTCTGCTTTTTCTGAATTCCCAAAGGGAGGAAGAAATACTGAAGCATGTCTGACTTCCACTTCCCATCATAGCCTGAACCAGTCTTGGAGGTTACATTTGGGGGACCCTGTTCTAGAAGAGGAGGTTCATTCAGATGATTGGGGGGAATTTGAATTTTATATTTGGTTTATGTATTGACCCAGCCTTAAATGCTAGGAATCAATTCCACTGGTGTATACTTCTGTTTATAATTGTTGGATTTAATTTGCTAATATTTTGTTAAAGATTTTTGTATTATGTTCATGGGAGATATTGGCCTGCAGCTTTCCTTTATTGTAATATTTGTGTGTGGTTTAGGCATTAGCATAATGCTTTCCTCATAAAATTAGTTAGAATACATTCTCTCTTCCCTATTTATTGACAGTCTCTATTTTTAATTAGTGTATTTAGATCATTGACATTAAAAATGCTTATTAACATAGTTGAATTAATATGTATTATATTTGTTCCCCTTCTTATTGGCCTCTTTCTTTGTTTTATATTTCATTCTTTTTCTCCCTTCTTTGGTTTTCATTTAAGATCTTATATAATTTAATTTTTTTCTCTTAGCGTATTTACTATACTTTTTATAAAACTTTTTCTAGTGGTTGCCTTTGTGATTGCTATAAAAATTTACAACTAATCGAAGCCCACTTTCAATGAACACAATACCACCTCCCAGATAATGCAAGTATTTTATAGTAGCATATTCCCAATTCCTTCCTCTCATCCTTTGTAACATTACTGCTATAAAATTTTCTTGTCCATAAGCTATAATCACCAATGCCATCATTGCTATTATTATTGTGGTCAAACACTTATCCATTAGATACATTAAGAATACGAAAGATGAAAGATTTTATTTTACCTTCAATTATTCCTTTGCTAATGCTCTTTCTTCCTTTTATGTAGATTTAAGTTTTTGATCTATATCAATTTTTCTTTCTAATTTTTTTAACGTGTCTTACAAGGCAGATCTTTAGGCAAAAAATTCTTCGAATTATTGTTTATCTAAAACATCTTTATTTCTTTTTAGATTTCTGAAGGATAATTTTTGCTGAAATTAGAATTCCTGGTTGATGATTATGTGAATCCCAAAAATTTGAGACAGGTCTCAGTTAATTTAGCAAGTTTATTTTATCAAGGTTGAGGATGCACCTGTGATACAGTCTCAGGAATTCCTGAGGACGTGTGCCCAAGGTGGTCAGGGCACAGCTTGGTTTTATACATTTTAGGGAGATATGAGACATCAATCAATATGTGTAAGAAGTACATTAGTTCTTTCCAGAAAGGTGGAGACAACTCAAGTTAAGGTCCCCCAACTGGGGGCTTCCAGGTTACAGGTAGGTGAGAGGCAGATGGTTGTATTCTTTTGAGTTTCTGATAAGTCTTTCCAAGGGAAGCAATCACAGTATGAATCTATCTTTGTAAGCAGAGGGATGACTTTGAATAGAATGGGAGGCATATTTGCCCTGAGGGGTTCCCAGCTTGAAGAGGCCCAATATATTTTCCTTTCACAATTATTTTATCTCAACTACTTAAATATTTCACACCATTTTATCCTTGTTTGCATGGTATCTGAAAATAAGTAATATTTAATTTTTTTTTTTTTTTTTTTTTTTTTAGACAGAGTCTTGCTCTGTCGCCCAGGTTGGAGTGCAGTGGTGCAATCTCGGCTCACTGCAAGCTCTGCCTCCCAGGTTCACGCCATTCTCCTGCCTCAGCCTCCCGAGTAGCTGGGACTACAGGCGCCCACCACCACACCCAGCTAATTTTTTGTATTTTTAGTAGAGATGGGGTTTCACTGTGTTAGCCATGATGGTCTTGATCTCCTGACCTCGTGATCCACCCGCCTCAGCCTCCCAAAGTGCTGGGATTACAGGCGTGAGCCACCAAGGCCAGCCGTAATATTTAATTCTTATCCTTCTTTCTCTGTAAGATATATTTTTTCCCGTGCCTTCTGTCAGGATGTTTTTCCTTGTCTGATATCTGCAGTTTAAATATGACATGCCTACAGCTAGAGTTTCTTTCTTTTTTTTTCTTCTTGTTGGTTTGTTTTATCTTCCTGGTGTTTGCTAAGCTTCCTAGAGCTATCTGTAGTTTAGTTTCATTTTCTTCCCTTTTTTTTTTGTTTTTGAAAATTCTCACTCATTGCTTCAATTATATCTCCTGTCCCTTATCTTTTTCTTCCACTCATATTCCCGTTATACATATATTATACCTTTTTAAAAATTTTCCTAGAGTTCTTGTATATTCTGTCCTGGCTTTTTAATTACTTTTTTTTTTTTTTGCATTTTAATTTTGGAAGTTTCTACTGACTTTTTTTTTTTACAACTTACTTATTCTTATCTTGGTGATTTCCAAACTGTTGATAAGACCATCAAATCATCAAAATCACTTTTAATTTCTATTCGATTTTCATTTCTTGCATTTAAAAAAAATTAATTTGTATAGTTTTTACTATCTGCTTATATTACTTATGTGTTTTATATGTTATTCACTCTTTCAGAGCTCTTAGCATATTAATCATAGTTGTTTTAAATTTTTGATTTGATAATTTTACTATCTCTGCCATATCTGATTCTGATACTTGCTTTGTCTGTTCAAACTGTGTTTGTGTTTTAGTATGTGTTGTAATTTTTGTTTAAAGTTGTACATGATGTACAGGGTAAACAAACAAATAAACAAAACTGTATTGGTTTTCAGTGTGAGGTTTTACATACCTGTCTAGGGGTTAGGCTATCTTAGCTGTTTGCTGTAGTTACAGGGTTCAGAGGCTAAAATTTCCTCTGTTGCTTTTTCTACTGTTTGTTTCCCTTTTGTGTTTGGATTTCCCTAAATACTTCTTAGAAATGTGCAGTAGTTACAGTAGCATTCCCATCTTATTGATACAACTCTGATGACTTGAGAAACACCAGGGTCCTTTGTCTCATGCCAGTAAGATCAACAACATGGACACACATCAAGTGGTGATGAAGCAGGAGATGTGAGAGGAAAAACAAATATTCCCTCTTTCCCTTGGTATGAGCAGCTTTCCCCTCGAATCCCTCCCCCTTCTGTGCGATTGTACCCTGCTCTGCAAGTTTTTATGAGTTTATGGTTTCCTGTTTTCTGTAACTGGTGTCTGTAAGTCTCTGTTTTTTCATCGGAGTAGCACCACTGAGGTCATGAGACATGCTTGAGCAAGCTTAGATTGCAGCCCTCTGGGTGCCATAGCAAAGGACACAAGATAAGGCTGTGCAGGCATCTTGAGCAAACCTAGATAACAGCCACCTGGCCTGCATAGCAAGAGTCACATGTAAGCCTGAGTTAGGAACCTGTCACAGTTTGATTAAGTTTGATTACAGACCATAACTATGACTGCCTTTGTTCTGCTTCTGTAAGCTTGCTTTCCCCGCCCTGCAAGTTTCACGCCACGGGCAAGCCACCTCCACTTTGGTTGTATGAATAAAAGTCAAGCCCTGACTTCATTTGTTGCTCAGCCTCTGCATATTAATCTGCTGAGCTGGTGGCCGCCTAAATAAAATCCTTCTGTTCCACCCATTGGTCTCTCTGGTCTCCTCATTCCCACAACAGTGTTAAAGAGCAGAAAGTTTAATAAACAAGAAAGAAGAAAGAAAGAAGAAAAACAGCTTCCCTGTACAGAGGGAGGGAGGCTCTAAATGGAGATACCACATGTGCAGTGGAAAGCAGTAGGTTATACTGAGAGTCTGGAAGAGGCAGTGTTTGATTTGCATAGGGCCCAGGGGATTGGTTTGACCAGGTGTGTCATTCATGTAGCCGGGAAAAAACTGGTCCTCCTACCCTAGCCTTTTAAGATGCAAATGTGGATCACCATAATGTCCTGCACACATGGTGTTATCCGGAGACAGCCATGACACTTGTCACACGTGGTGACAAGGAGAAGAGGGAAGGAACTGCCATGTTGGGTGGATCTGGTTTCTAGCCATTGGTATGTGAACATTCATGCTTGCTGGTCTGGTTGTTCAAGCCACTTTCTGTTAGAAAGGAAATTGTTCGGAGGTTGCTTTTTATTAAAGAAAAATTCCACTGATAACTTCCACACTTTCAAGCTGCCTAAAAATGATTTCTTAACTCCTGTATTATTTCCCCCCTCTGGAGAAGTAAACCTAACTGCTGCTAGGGGGTGTTGGATGACAATTCTTTCTGGCTATTTCCTGCTGAAAAGGGGTGTTGTGTGGGGGAACAGCATTTGGGCCTCCTACTGAGGTTGATCTAATGGTTCTCAGAAGAATGGTGTGTCCATGCGTGGTTTGGTTTGCAGCACCATTTGGAGTTTGATTGCTTCTTGGCAAAAAGAAATAAATTTTACAAGGAAATTTAAAATATACAGTTAGCATATGAGTATTAAGATTACCACTATTAGTGTACTTAATGTATTATTAGGGTACTATAGACCATAACTATGACAGTAGAGTGTGATACCTGTTAGTTACACCAATGTATTGTAATACCGGTTTTCCTCCACTAGATGGTGCTGTACATTAGCAGAAACTTTAATATAAAAGTAACATTTTCCTTGAGAAAAGCATACATTTCCCCCTTGACTTGCCATTAGAGAACAATTTTAGACTTAGGCTATTTTTTATAACTTGCAATATGATTATGAGAAATATGTTATTGGGTGGCTAAAATAACTTTAGCGTTAATCTTGACAGTTCTTTCCTTGAATTATTAAATTCTTTCATGACTTTCACAGACCCTCTTACAACATACTTAAACTTTCTTACTTGTCCTAAACATCTTTCCTTTAAACAACCAATCATTTCCTTTTAGGACAAGAATTTACCATACAAAATCTTTCCTTATATAAAATCTCTTTTTTTTATAACCTTTTCATAGCTTACAGTGCACCATATTACCAATCTTCAATAAAATGTCCTATCAAACTTAATGATAGTAAAACTTTCATGCTTACTTCTTATCCACAGCTATTATTCCTGCTGTGGATATTATTCCAAAGCAAAATAACTTTGGTTAATCTTTTCTGCAATTATTAATCTTGTTATAAGGATGATAATTAGGCAAAATATTACAGCAATTAGAATTTTACTACCAGAATTCCACATTGTGTGGCCAGAGTGTATAGTTCTATTGCAAATAGTAGCGTGACTATAATAATTCCCACAAGAGTGGTGTAGTAAATAATTTCCATTTAAAACTTTACTTGCCAATATATAACATTTCCCTTTAGGGATCTGCAAAATTACAAATGCAATTCTATGAATAATTAAAATCTGCCTGCCAAAATGCGTTAAAAAGAAGTTATAATATTTGGTGGCAAATTTTGAGAGGAAAGGCCAGAAATAAGAAAAATTATCTGGTGAGGCAGTAGTGGGACTGAGTAAGATGAGTGGTCCTCACTCAGTTACTTATCTTTTATGCTTTTCAGCTTAAGATCTTCTATTTCTCCCCATTGATATTCAGGACATTCCTCTGTGCTGTCAGGGATTGCTCCCCCAGCTCTTCAGGCCTTGACTTGAGTGCAATGTATTCAGGAGTTGATTCCTGTAACTTTACTGCCGAGGGGATTGAAAGAAGAACAGTGCAAGGCCCTTGCCAGCTTGACATAGGGACGGAGGGATGTGAGATTTTCACTAATACCACATTTTCCGTTGCTATTTTATAGGACATCCAGTAGTGGTAAGAGAATGTCTTTTCTTTTAAATGGCAGCATGAGCACAGAAAGCTAAGAAAGCGTACTTGGAGTTAGTATAAATGTTAGCTATCTTTCCCTTGCTTAATTCAAGTGATTTGTAAGAGCTGGTAGTTCAGCTAATTGAGCACTTGTGTCTGAGATGAAATGTTATTTAGAGTGACTACTGCTTATCCTGCCTTATGTACTTCTTGCTTTACTGGCTGTTTGTTAGCTAAGAGCTCCCCCTAGAGGGCAGTGATCCTGCCACATATGTGGAGTGTAAACAGTTAAATTATTTCCTTGGGTTAATTTGGAGGCTTTTCTGACTCATGACAATGGCTTGGAAGCATGTGTAAACAATAGTTCTTCCTAACTGCAACTAAGGTTGAGAAAAATATTGGATTAGAGTTTTTCCTGAGATACCCCTTACGGTCATGCTATGGAAAGAGGGGAGGCCTGGATTAGGAGAAAAGAGAGAGACTGGCTCTAGTGTTTAGAAGGAGGTCTACTTTCCTTCCTTCAATTTCCAGAATCACCCGGGGTCCTGTGCTGTAACGGCAGTCTGAGTTGCTGGAGCCGGGGGTTTGAGCCCTGGGACCCATCATTCCTGCTGGACCATCTGTGAGACTGGTTCTGAACCCAGGGACCTCTGTCTTTTGGGGCAGTTTCATCTCTGGTGGTCTCTTCTAAAGGCTGGATAGGGTTGAGGTGGCTTCTACTTGCTGCCTGGGCATTCCTTCTTAAAATGCCCTGGCCTGCCACACCGATAGCAACTAACAGATGCAGCTAGAAGACTGTGGACTTTGCAAGCCTATAAAGCTACTACTAGAGCCTCTATCCTTTTCCTGACCTTTCTCTTTTTCTTCTGGGTCTCCTCCTGGTCCCTATTATAAAAGACCAAAGTGGCCACCTTCAGAAGGTTCTCTGGTCCTGTAGCTTGCTTCTATAGTTTCCTTCTAATATTGGGAGCTGCCTGTGTAATAAACTTGTCCTTGAGGATGAGCTGTCCCTTGACTGAATCAGGGGATAAAGAGGTGTGTTTTATTAGTGCCTCTCTCAGCCTTTCCATAAAGGCTGCAGGATTCTCTTCTGGCTTTTGGTTTATCATAGTCAGTTTAGAGTAATTGAGAGGTCTGGCCTTAGTTCTTTGTAGGCCCTCTAAAATGCATGTTAAAAAGTGCTTCCTTTTCCATTCGTCTGCAGAGCTATTGGGGTCACAATCAAGTTTGTCAAGGGGGAACTGCTTTCCTTTCAATTGAGAATGGTGTTTCTGCTATTTCTTCACTCTCCCTTTCTTCTTACTTATCTTTTGGTTTGTTATAGGGGATATATTGCTCATCTCCAAAATTATCTGCTATTTGCAGAGCTGCCTACTTTCCAGCTGCAGTGAGGGTTTGGTTTGGGAGCAGCATAACATCTTTCCATGTGAGGTGAAATACCTGAGTTGAATTGTGAAAAGTTTCTATATACCTATCAGGGTCATCAGAAAATCAGCCTAAGTTTCCCTTTATTTGCCTAGGGTCCTATTTGAGAAGGGAACTTGAACCCTCATTGCAACATTTCCATCAGGCATTTCCTGTAGAGGTAAGGGTGAAGTGGGGAAAGTGGGTAATAACGGAGGATGGTGGAGCTGGAGGAACTGATGGTACGATTGGATGGGGTTCTGAATGAGGGTAACTGGAAGGGTTGGGACATTCAATAGCTGTCTCAGATTGCTCCTATAAAATCTGCTTCAGCTCTGGGAAACTATTCCCTGTGGGCTTGCCTGCTATGGCTGCTAAAAGAACTGGGTTGCTCTTACAATGCTTCCAAAGGTTTGGTAAAAATGCCATGCCCATGTGCAAAAGAAAATGAGTTGGTTTTCTCTTCAATGTCCTGAGGTCAAAGAAGTTCCAGTGTTTCAGGGTGCACTCCAGAGGGGTACAAGCTGAAGATAATCTGTTACCCGTCTAGAAAGAGAAGCAAGAATAAAAGCATCCTTTTAGACTCCTTCCTTTCTGTGTAACCCAAGGTGGAGAAGAAGACAGTGGAAGTGTCCTCCCGACTGTTTTCCCTCCCTGGTTCCTGGGTCCCGGCAGCCTGTTAAATGTGCCGCCCATGGTTGTAAGCAGGACCCTCCAAACCATAGAACTGGATGAACTAAGTGATGGGACTCACCACGCTTTACCCGTGCAACCTTAGCTTATCTGTCCTGTGTGATTCCCCTTTGACTTACTAAACCTATGTGATCTGCCTGGTTCTCCCAAAAAATGGATCTTGGGAAAGACTACATAAAAGACAAGCCTCCTTTAACGGAGGGAATTTGCTAGATTGCCTGCTATTATGGCCCGTTCTAAAGAATTTACCCTTAGAAAAATGGTTCTGGCTAACTTCTGTACTTAAAATCCCCTTACTAATTAAGTACTATCTTAATCAGAGAGAGAATAGGTGCCTTAAAGGGACACTGGGACCTAATGACGACTTTCCTGCTGATGGGACAGTGTTGGGACTAAAATTTGGCTGCAGAGGACGTTTTATTCCTAATAGTTGAAAGCAGAAGTTTCCTTGTTCACAGAAGCAGCATAAAACCTGGTTTCTGGTAGAAAGGCATAAAAAGGAAAAATTGGAAGGCTGCAATGTACCGCAGAAAACCAGCACATGAGTCTTATGAAGAGGATTTCTATTTTTCATGAGGTGGTGATGTTGGCTTAGAAATACCATGTAATCACAAGCTGACTATTAGCCTATTAGCGAGTGGCCACACTGTGGGGGAAACGGGAGGTCTCTGTTCCTACAAGATTGCAACAGCATTTGCCTAAGCTATATCCCTGGTTACTACAGAATTTCCTGATCTTGACTAACAGGATTACTTCCCTAGACTGTAAAAATTCCCACATATTCGACACACAGAGAGAGTAAGAGACTGTGGATAGAAAAAGAAGGAAAGTTTTGTGACAAGATAGCTGGGAATTCTTAACCAACACCTGGAGCAGACTGACTGAGGCTGGGTGCAGTACAGAAGCCTTTGAATAGCACCAGGGTATGCCCTGGCCAGCAATTCAGTTGCTTCAGTACTTTTCCAAGCCTCATGTAATGGCTAAGTTTCCCCAGGAAAAGAAACTGAGTCAAAACATGGCCAACATTCCCAATGACCCATGAGTAATGGAGGGTTCTCCATGTTCTCACTAGCAAACCTGACATCCAAGTCTTTATAACTGCAGCCACGATAAGCGTATTTTTAAGCAGTTGACGGATTCCCATTAATTGATTTGATTTTGATTTTAAACTAGAAGCCAAGAGTGCCTCAGAATGATAGAACAGATTTTTAAGGTCCCTTCTATACTCACCACTCCAGTGAATGTCGTACCTTGGATTCCAGCCAATGCACCAAAATAATACGACTCTAATGACTGGAGAAACACCAGGGTCCTTTGTCTCACACCGCTAAGAATAATGAAATGACATACATGGAGTGATTTTTAAGGAGCGGAAAGTTTAATAGGCAAGAACAAAGAAAGAAAGAAGAAAAACAGCTCCCCCATACAGAGGGATAGAGGCTCTGAATGGATACACCCTGCGTGTGGTGGAAAGCAGTCGGTTATATTGGGAGGCTGGAGGAGGCGATGTTGATTTACATAGGGCCCAGGGGATTGGTTTGAACCCGTGTGTCATTCACATAGCCCATGAAAAAATTGGCCCTCCCACCCTAGCCTTTTAATATGCAGATGTGGGTTGCCATGATGTCTTGCACACGTGGTGTCATCTGGGGGTGGCCATGACACCTGGCACACATGGTGACAAGAGAAGAGGGCGAGAACCACCATGTTGGGTGGAACTGGTTTCTAGCTGCTGGCATTTGCATATCAATGCTTGCTGTTCTGGTTTTTCAAGCCACTTTCTGTTAGAAAGGAAATGGTTCAAGGCTTGCTTTTTATTAAAGGAAAATTCCACCAAGAACCACCCTTCCTAGCTGCATAAAAGTTATTTCTTAATAACTCCTTTATTATTATTATGAAGGAGACATATTTATTTAGTAGTAAGATATTAGGAGAGGGGAATCATTCTATAGTCCTACGATTTTGTGTCAGTTTTTTAGTGACCCTGTGTCCCTGGGCTGTGACCTTCCAAATTGGTTCTAAGTTTTGTTTTGTCATTTAGGTAAGACAGCATGATGAAAGGGGGCTGAAAATGGGTATTTATCTTCCCCTACAGAGAATACTAGAGAGTGGCTGGAGTGTATATTTCTTCTTTCAGGTCAGTTAGGCTCTGGTAAAACTGCAGTTAGTCAACCTCTTGTAAATAGTTTCTCTTGATAGCCAGCATTTCTAAGAAGAACAGAATGCTCTGATTATATTTTTAAATGATTAATTTTTTTTCTGTCTACCAGAAGCATGAGGAGAATTTTCTAGGCTCTTCACTGTGAGAACTTGGTACAGCTCCTGGAGGTAAACTCACAAAACTGTAGATATTGCACTTCGGGAGGCCGAGGCGGGCGGATCACTAGGTCAGGAGATCGAGACCATCCTGGTTAACACGGTGAAACTCCATTTCTACTAAAAATACAAAAAATTAGCTGGGCATGGTGGTGGGCGCCTGTAGACCCAGCTACTCGGGAGGCTGAGGCAGGAGAATGGCGTGAACCTGGGAGGCGGAGCTTGCAGTGAGCCGAGATTGCGCCACTGCACTCCAGCCTGGGCCACAGAGTGAGACCCCGTCTTAAAAAAATAAAAAATAAAAATAAATAAATAAATAAATAAATAAATAAATAAATAAACTGTAGATATTGCAAAGACTGGCCCCCTTTGAAGTTTTTTTAACTCAGGGTTGTCCACATTGAGCCTCCAGCAAGTCTTCAATTAACATTCAGGTTGTTCTATTTGGTACTGGTTCCTATGGAGTTTTCTGCTCCAGGGCTGCTTCTTTGGTAGCTGTGATTGTCTATATCAGCATGTCTGTTTCTTCCATTTGGGGAGCAATGGTTTCTACTATGATATCAATACTCTGATGAATTGAAGAAAATTTGTTGATTTCTAGTTAGTTCCACTTATTTTTGTTTTTATTTGTAAGGATGGGAGTGATTACTTCTAAGCTTTTTGCATGCCAGACCTGAAAGTGCTATTTAATTTTTATATTATATATCTGCATATTTTTGTCATTGCCTTCTACCTATGTTTCAAATATGTTTTTACTGAGTATCTTTTATAGTTGAAATTTTATCCAGTAATAGTAATTTCACACATAATCACATACAACTTAAGAAAAAATACACAGTATGCCATGTACATATTTACCCATCAATGGTGATATTCTGCAAAATAATAATGCAATATCACAATATCACAACATCACAATATCAAAGAACCAGCTTTTTGTTTCATTTGTTCTCTATTGTTTTCCTGCTTCCAATTTCATTGGTTTCTGGTAAGATTTTTATTACACTTATATATGCCTGCTGTAGATTTATTTTACTCTTTATTTCTAGAATTTTGAGACAGTAACTTAGATTATTGATTTGAGACATATCTAGTTTTCTAATGTAAACAGTTTTGTAGTGTTTTTATGGTGATTGCTCTAGGTATTATAGTACACCTATGTGACTTATCACAACCTACGGGGAGCAACATTTTGACACTGAGCAAAGCAGAAGAATCTTACTTCCATTAAGGTCTATTCACTTTCTCCATTTAAAATATCATAGTCTTGAGTATCAAATGGTCTTTTTTCAATTATCAAATATAATTTATAAAATTCATAACAAAATGAATACTTTTTTTGGTACCCCTATTTCTGCTATTTCTTTTGTGTTTCTTGTTCTGGTCTTCTGCTTGAAGATTGCTTCTTTTATTATTTCCTTCCCGTTAGAATAAATTTTTGTGAATGTTATTTATAGATAAGTATGTTAGCAACAAATTATTTTTATTTCATTTGACAATGTCTTTATTTCCACTTCATGCTTGGAGGATAATTTGCCAAATATGACATTTGTGATTGATAGTGAATTTCTTTCAGCCCTTTAAATTGTTGTGCCTTTTCCTTTTGCCCTCAATTATCCAGTGTCATTTGACTTAGTGTTCCCCTGTAGTTTCCATGTCATTTCCTTCTGTCTGCGCCCAAGGTGTTTTCTTGGCTTTTAGTTTTGAGTAATTTAATTAAAATGTGTCTTGGCATAAAGTTCTTTGGGTTTATTTATACTTGGCATAAAGTTCTTTCGGTTTATTTATACTATTTCAGATTCACTCAAATTCTTAATTAGGTACATTTATGTCTTTCATCAAACTTGGGTAGTTTTCAAGCATCATTTTTTTGAATTATCTTTGAGCTCCACTCTCTTACTCCTGTCTTTTGTGGACTTTGATTATATGAACACTACATCATCTGGTATTGTCCCATGTGAATTCGGGGCTCTGCTAATATTTTAAATCTATTTCCACTATTGTGCAGATTGACTTAATTTTATTGATCTGTCTACAAGTTGACAGATCCTACCATCTGTCTTCTCCAGTTTACCAGTTATCTTCAGTTTTATTTTATTCTATCTGTCAAATAATTGTATATATTTATGGGGTACAATGTGGTGAAAAAACAACTAATATAATGAATAAAAAACCTCACAGATTTGGAGAAAACATTAGGAAATCATACATCAGGTAAGGAGCTAATATCCAAAATATATAGAGACTCAAACTACTCAATAACAAGAAAAAAAGCTGTATTTAAAAATGAGCAAAAGACCTGAATAGACATGTCTCAAAAGAAGACATACAAATGGCCAACAGATGTATGAAAAATTGCTCAACATCAGTAATTATCAGGGAAATGTAAATTAAAATTGTTATGGAATATTACCTCACACGTGTCAGATTTGTTACGACCATAAAAAATTCACCAAGTTTTTTTTCTTTAACTTACTGCAATATACCTCTATAATTTTAATTTGGTTATTTTTTATATTCATATGAAAAGTATTTATATTTATACGTGCTTATTAAGGCACTTTTAAGATAGCTGCTTTACAATTCTTGTCAGATATTTCTCAAATCTAATTTATCTCAGTGTTGGCGTCAGTTTCATTTATTTTCTTGCTTCTTGATTTAATGTTTGATCCTTTTGTTGTGTCCTGGACATTTTGTCTATTATGTTGGGAGACTATGTCCTATTTAAATCTTTTATTTTAGCAAGAATTCACTCTGTCTAAATTTCATATGTATGTTCCATATTACTTTTGTCAGCAGTGATTTAATCGATGATTTGATTTTCAGAGTCATTGTGGTGTTATTTGAGGCTAGATGGCTTATATGGTGCTACTATGGCTGCTACTGGTTATTGCTGGTACTGACTAAGGGTACAGAAGGGATTTCCCTAGGCTGAGTTACTGGATGTCTCTCCAGGAGTCAGGGAGTCACAGGCAAATATGTAATGTAAAGAAGCTTTCCTTGCCAGGTACTTGTTGTGACAGAGCCTCTTCTGAATGTGAGAAATGGAAATTGCTTTTTGACCAGGGTATTTGTTGTGCAGGGATTCCTATGGGCAGAAAAGGGAACTCTCAGAGACACTGGGATAAACAGGCTTAGAGGCAACCCTGGATGAACCATTATTTTGGCTGGGTTACTGGTGGTCTCTGGCCATTCAGTGCTTCCCATTGAGTGAAGGCAAAAGACTATGAGGACTGTGGGTACAAAGAGGCTTCCTGAAACAGGTAGCACATTGTGGTCAGATATCTCTTGCCAGTTCTGCCTGCTCATTTCAGTATCTCTCATGGGTGAGGGGAGTGTCAGGATCAACAGTGAAAGAGAACACTTTCGCTGGCCTCCTCTTGTTACCAGAGCTCAAAATAATTCCTCTTGTCAGGCTTTCCTGACATCATAGGTCTCTCTTTTATTCTAGGAGAGGAATAAGACTACCTGTGATGGCAACTGCTGCTGTGTTGGAAATCAGGAAATGCTGGGCTTGGGATGCTTCTTTCTGTTAAGTGGGAGGATATAAGGAACCCTGCAGTTTTCCACCTTCTTGCTATTATTCAGAGCTCTCCTCTTACGTGTTTCTAGATGTATCATGTGTTATTTTTACAGTTGTGCTTAGATGGAGGATTGCAGAGAAGCATATCTCTGCCAAATTATTTTATTTTAGAACAGTTTAACATTTACAGAATAATTATGAATACAGTATAGAAAGTTCCTATATACCTCACACCCAATTTCTTCTATTATTAACATAATATGTAGGATTGTACATTTGTCAATACTGATAAATTATTAATTAGTCAATACTGATAAATTATTATTAATTAGACTCTATATTTTATTTGTATTTCCTCACTCATGCATTTTCTCATTTGCCCTTTCTGGTTCCAAGATCCTATCTAGGATGCTACATTACATTTAGTAGTTATGCATGTCTCCTTAGATTCCTTTGGTTGTGGCAATGTTTCAGACTTATCTTTTTTTTTTGTTATGGCTTTCATCATTGTGAGGATAGGCAGGTACTGCGTAGCATGTTCCTCAGTTGAAGATTGTCTGATGTTTTCCTTGTGATCTTACTGAAGTAATACCTTTTTGCTACCATGGTGTTAAAGCACTATTCTTATCACATCACATTTACATACTATTGATACGAGAGGAGGGCAGAGAAGTGCTGGGCAAAGAAGTGTACGGTCCCTTGCAAGGGCTCCACCCTCAGGCCTGTGCCTACGAACCTAAGTGAGAACAGGCACTCCTGTTTTTGCACCCAAATGCTGCATTTTCCAAGACCACTCTGGTCTGCACACTCCCCATCCTGTGCCCATAAAAAACCGAGACCTTTGCAGGCAAATACAAGCAGCTGGACATCTATCTAGAGGAGCAGAGGAACACACAAGCAGACACCAGCAGACCAGTGACGGTGGGACAACACAGACACGGAGGGACTTTCGGCTCGGGGCAGTCAGAGAACAGTCTGGCCTCTGGGCAGCCCAGCTCCAGGAGAAGACCGCCTTCTCACAACATCCCCCTTCCAGCTTATCATCCACCTCACTGAGAGCCACCTCCACACTCAATAAAACAATAAAACCTTGCACTCATCCTCCAAGCCCATCTGTGTTTCTATTTTTCTGGTACACAAGCAAGAGCTCAGAATACACAAAGCCCTCTGCCCTTGCAATAAGGCAGAGGGTCTAATTGAGCTGACTCACACAAGCCGTCTGAAAATGGCAAAGCTGAAAGAGCACACTGTAACACACACCCACTTCGGCTTCGGGAGTCATAAACACTCATCCTAGACACTGCCATGGGGTCGGAACCCAAAAGCGCTCCCCAAGACCTCTACACCCACCCGTCTGCATGTTCCCCCTAGGGGTTTGAGCAGCAGGGCACTGAAGAAGTGAGCCACATCTCTGTTGCGTGCCCAGGGAAGGGGATAAGGGAACTCTCCCATATCATTATCAGTATGACTTGTCATATTTAATATTAACCTGAATCTCCTGGATTGTGTTAGTGTTTTTCAGGTCTCTCCACTGCAAAGTTACTTTTTTTTCTCTTACTCTCTATCTTCATACTGTACTCTTTAGAAGAAAGTTGCTATGCATGAAATATCTACCTAAATTATTGGAAATTCTACTTGGAATATATGTGTGTTCTTCCCAAAATATTTATTTATTTAATCACTGGTTTACATAACTATGGACTGATGAATACCTATTTCATACTTTCAGTTATAACCAAATACAACTTTATTGATTTTGTTGCTTAAATTGTTCCAGCTTTAGCCATTTAGAGCTTTTTCAGTTGTTTCCTGTTTCCTTTAGACATACCCTCCATGAGTTGTGTTTGTGTGTACGTGTGTATTTGTGTAAGGTATAAGGTTGGCGTGCATGTTTATGTTTTTCTTTCATATGGGTGTACAATTCTTCCAGCCTCCATTGTTTAAAAAACTATCCTTACTCCATTGAATTGCCTTTGGTTTTTATCAAAGATCAATTGACTATGTTTTTGTGGGTCTGTATATGGGATGCCTATACTTTTTTATTGATCTATTTTCCTATTCTTTTGTCAATACAGTGTAGCCTTAGAGTAGGTCTTGAAATTAAGTGGCGTAAGTCTTCCAACTTAGTTCTTCTTCAGTATTGTGTTGGATATTCTAGATTGTTTCCATTTTTATACAAACTTTGCAATTACTATGTCAATATTTACACACCAGTTTGCTGTAATTTCGATTAGGATTTTGATGTGGTTTGGCTCTGTGTTACCACTCAAATCTCATGTTGAATTGTAATCCCCATGTGTCAGGGGAGGAACCTGATGGGAGGTGATTGCATCATGGGGGCAGATTTCTTTTATGCTCTTCTTGTGACAATGAGTGAGTTCTCAAGAGAACTGATGGTTTAAAAGTGTGACACTTCCCCCCTTGCTCTCTCTCTGTCTGCTGCTCCACCATGGTAAGACATGCTTGCTACCCCTTTGTCTTCTGCCATGATTGTAAGTTTCCTGAGGCCTCCCAGTCATACTTCCTGTTAAGCCTGTAGAACTGTGAGTCAATTAAACCTCTTTTCTTCATAAATTACCCAGTCTTGGGTAGTTTATAGCAGTGTGAGAACAGTGGAATACAGATTGTGTAGGTCAAGTTGGAATTAATTTATATTTTAACAATAAGGCATCTTCCAAATTAGGAAAATGGAATATCTATCTATTTAGTTATTTTATTTTTTTATCCGTGTTTTTTAGTTTTCTGTATATAGGCTCTGTACATATTTTGTTTGATTTATACTTAAGTATTTCTTATTCAGGATGCCATTATAAGTGGTATTATTTTATTTAAATTGAAAATTTGAATTGTTAATGGCTGGAATATATATAAGCAATTGACTTTCATATATTAATCTTGTATCTTGAGACATTGCTATACTTACTTCAAGGAGTTCTTTGGTTGATTCTTTAAAAATGGCATCTGCAAATACAGATGGTTTTATATCTCTCTTTCCAATTGTAATATGTTTTATTTCCTTTTTTGTCTTATTGCACTAATTATAAATTCTGGTACATTATGAATAGGAGTGGAAAGAGAGGATATTCTTACCTTGTTCCAGATTTTAGAGGATACATGTCCAGTTTCTTACTATTAAGCATGATGTCAGCTACAGATTTTTTAGATGTTCTTTATCAAGTTGATGACATTCCCTTTTATTTCTAGTTTACTGAGGTTTTGGTCATAGATATGTATTGGATTTTGTCGAATGATTTTTCCGCATCATTTGATATAATTATATATTTTTTCTTTTTTAATCTATGAATGTGGTGGATTATATTAATTGATGCTTGCGTGTTGAAAACAGTCAGTATATGAGATTCATAAGTGAATTTTTGGGTCGTGTATTGGTATGAGCTGAATTATGCCGCCCCCCCACCCCAATTAATATGTTGGTACTCTAATCCCCAAAAACCTCAAAATAAGACTTTACTTAGTGATAGAGCCTTTAAATTGGTAAATAAGTTAAAATCATTTTTATTACAGTGAGACCTAATTTAATATAATGGATGTCCTCTTAAAAAGACAAGAACAGAACACAGAAAGATACACCAGACACATACATACATAAGAACATAATCATATGAACCCACAGCAAGAAGGCGGCCATATTCAAGCCACGGAGAGAGGCCTCAGAAGGAATCAAACTTGCTAACACCTTGATCCCAGACTTCTGGACTTCATTACTGTTAGAAAATTAATTTGTTATTTAAGCCATAGTCTTACCCAATCTGTGGTGTTTTGTTATGAGAGTCCCAACAAATTAATAGTGGTATGTATTCTGGTGGTTGTTCTTTGGCTTCCTGATTCAGTAGTTATGTGTTTGTTATTAAATTAGAAAAGTTCTCCAGTCATTTTTATTTCAAATACTTCTTCTGATCTTTTCTCTTTCAGATATTCCAATTACATTTTGTAATTTTACCATGATTCTTGGATGTTCTTTTTTGGTTTGGCTTGATTTTACTTTGCTTTTATTTATTTTACTTTTTTTCCATTTTAGTTTGATAACTAAAGTTTATCTTTACCTGTCATCAAACTCACTGGTTCTTTACTCACTCATGTCAAGTCTACTGAGTAATATGGGGTCACAGGCTCTGCTTCCTGCACTCAGTTACAGTACTACCCAGCTGCCTGAGTTCCAGCTATAGTAGGCCCCAGTACAGCAATGTCCTATGCCCAGGAAAGCTGTAAGAGCACAGAAGCCTCTACCTAGATATGAAAGAATGTCCCGGAGAGCTGAGCTGCAGGGAACCAGGCAGAAAAGCATAACGTGGAGTGGGATCACCAGCAGAGATCCTTCACTGGACAATGACCATCTGAGACTTGTAGCAGGACCTCCCCTCACAAACCACAGACTTTTAGGGTCATAGCTGTATGATCTGTGGTGTGGGCTTTTCCAAAAAAAGCTATGGGGATGAGGCTGCTTAAAGCCTTGGGGGCCTAACTTTTCTAGGGAAAAGATGCAGGGGCATCACCTTTTCCTGAATGTGTCCTGAAGGCAGGGCCTTCTCCTGAGTGACATCGAGACAAAGAAAATTGCTCTGGAAACTTTACAGGTAATAGTGTTTGCCTTGTTGGGTTTTAGACTTGCTTGGGACCTGTCACGCTTTTTTACTTATTTGTTCCTATTGGAATAGAAATGTCTGTCTTGTGCCTGTCCCATCATTATATTTTGGATGCAGATAATATGTTTAATTTTACAGACTCACAGTTGGAAGGAAATATCTGATTTAGATACTACTTAGCTAAGATGTTGGACTTCAGACTTTTGAGTTTATGCCTGACTGATAAAATACTAGGCAAAAATCAGTTAAGATAAAGATGACCTCAATAGCACTTTCAACTACCCCGACCTATTTCAGATTTATAGGACACTTTCTAATAATAGCAGAATATATATTTTTCTCAAAGCAACGATCACCAAGCAGTACACATTCAGTACCATTAAAACAATTTAGCTAATTTTAAATAATATAAATAATACACAGCATGCCCTAGACAACAACAGAATTAAACTAAAAGTCAATATTATAAATATAATTGGAAAATCCAAAAATATTTCTGAATAATTTAGAACACTTCTAAATAGTATATGAGTCAATAAGGAAGTCCCAAAAACAATACAAAAAGATTTTGAACTGAAATGAACTGAAAATACAACATAGTATTTTTTTGATGCCCCTAAAGCAGTGTTTAGAGGGATATTTCTAGGAATACATGTTTATGGTAGAAGTTAAGAACTAAATGAAACTAGTAACAAGCTTTCATCTTTAAAATAAATAACAAATTAAAACAAAAGCAGAATCAAGTAAATAATAATTTTAAAGGTATAAAATAGAAATCAATGAAATTAAAACAAAAAACGCAGGTGTCATATATCAAACAAACAAAAAACCTGGCTGTCTGTAAATATCATTAAAATTAGCCAAATCCAAACTATACTAAGAAATAATTGACAACATTAACATTACCAATATTAGAAAATAATGAGAAAACATGGTGCTTGGCCTCACCAACACTGAAAAAATACAACTTTCAAATAACTTTATGCCCATACATTTGACAACATAGGGGACATAGAGTAGTTCCAAGATATACGCTACCTATCAAAACTCGTTTTAAGAATAGAAACTCTAAATAACCCCATATCTTTTAAATAATTAGAGCTTGTATGTAACACCTTGAAACAAAGAAGAAAGAAAACAGTAATCTCCAGATCCTGAAGGTTTCACTAGTTGATATTGCCAAATACTTAAGGAAGCATTAAATACCACGTCTTTTTCAGAAACTAGCAGAGTAAGAAATATTTTCCAACTCATTATGAGCCCAGCATTACACTGATAATTAAACCACAAACAATACAATATTATGATAAAGAAGACTATAGACAAATATACTCATGAACATAGGAGAATCTCAACAAAATACTAGCAAATTGAATGCAGCAATATATAAAATGTCTAATACATAATTACACAGTAGGATCCAGCCAAATGATAATACTTTCTGTATTTTAAAAATCAGCCTCTATTAATAGTCTAAAGAAGAAAAAAGTTGTATGGCCACATCAATAAATGCAGGGAAAGCAGTACACAAAATTGAATATCCAACCATGATCTAAATTCTCAATAGTTTAAGGAAGAAGGGAACTTAAACCTAAAAAAGATTACCTGCAGAAAGCCAATAGTTAGCTATTGTTATCTAGTAGCCAATATCTGGTTATTGTTTGTTGATGGTTAGCCAATAGTTAGCTATATATCACAATTACTGGTGCGAGACTGAATGCTTTTCCCTTAAAATTGAAAGCAACTCAATTACAGATCTCAAGTCTAAATACCCCTATTTAGAATAATATTTTAAGTTATAGCTAGTGCAACAAGAAAAGGACATAAAAGACATACTGTTCAGAAAAGAAGGAAAACAAAAACTCTCTATTCACCAACAGCATAATTGCTATAGAGAGTCATTTTTTATAAACTACAAAAACCACTCTTAGAACTAAGAAGTCATTGTGGAAAATTTGCAGGATACAAGGTCAGTATACAAAAGTCAGTCATATTGCTATATAATGACAGTAAACAATTGGAATTGGAATTTTAAATATCTTAAAAAAGTTGGAACTCCATTTTATTTCACATGCAAAAATTAACTCAAAATGGATCAAATCCTCAAATGTAAGAGCTAAACTATAAAACCCTTAGATCAAATACATGTAAAATGTGATGACATTGGGTTAGGCAATGACACCAAAAGCACCTAAACAATAACAAAAAAGATGAACTTCATAAAATTAAAAGATTTGTACTGCAAAAGATACTGTCAGGAAATAAAAAGACAACCCAGAGGATAGAAAAAATATTTAAAGTTATATTTCTCATAAAGGACATATGTTTAAAATACATAAACACCTCCAATTCAATAATAAAAAGCAGGTAGCACAGTTAAAAATGGTTAAAGAATCTGATTGCACATTTCATCAAATAGGATTCAAAAATGGCCAATAAGCACATGAAAAGATGTTTCACGTTATTGGCCACCATACAAATGCAAATCAAAACCACAATGAGATAGCACTTCATGCCCACTAGGATGATTACAATAAAAAAGATAGTTAATAAAAGTGTTAGTGTGGATGTGGAAAAACTGAAACCATCATATATTTCTGGTGAAAAACTGCTTGGCAAATTCTCAGAGAGTTAAGCATGGCATTTGCATATGACCCAGCAATGGTACTCCCAGACAAATACCAAAGTGAAATGAAAATATATGTCCATGCAAAAATTTCTATGCAAGTGTTTGTAGAAGCATTAATCATAATTGCCAAAGAGTGGGCACAACTCATTATACATCAACTGAAACATGTTTAAACAAAATGTGATATATTCATATAATGAAATATTATTCAGCCATAGGAAGAAATGAAGGTGGAAAATGAACAACAAATGTGTGCACAATATTTTGTTTCACATAATTCTTTTAGAAATATTGAAAGTATATATGACAGACTATAGCCACTTATTATAGCCCATTCATAGGAACATGCTATTTTATTCTCTGTAATTTTAGTAGATTTGGAATGCATTTTAAGCATTTTTAAAGATATTATTATCTTGTCAATTTTTTAGAAATAAACTATTAGCTTGAGGAAAACATTAGTATTTATTTATTTATTTTCTTGCCAAGGACCTTGCATTCTTTTAAAAACATATTTGTAGCTGTTAATAAAAGAAATTAATTTGAAATTTAGCTGACCAAAAATATGCCAGTGCCTTTTGAATATTATTTAAATATATATAAATTAAGGAATTTTTACAAATACATTTTTCAAAATTTTTATTTTAACTTTCTAAACAGAACTCACTCTCAAAGCTTATGACTAAAATTCAAATGCAGTTTTAATCATTTTGATCATTATTCTGTGGCAAATATTATAATTTATTCTGTTTTAAGAATTTATAATATTATCTTTAAATTAAATCTAGCACTGCCTTTACAAATGTTATACACAACACTTAAACTTCCTAGATAGTGGTTCTGGCATATAACCACCTAGACAAATGTTTGGGTCCTTATTTTCTGTAAGTTACTCAGAATATAGATGCATATTTTATCCCCCTAGAATTAATTTATCCAAATTAATCCTTTCCAAATGTATGACTCTTCTTATTTTTGGCTTCCGTAATTTCAATTAATTATTTCCAGAGTTACCTTCAAATACTAGCTGAAACTATAGCAAGTGCATATGTTCTCTGATTTGTCTTTCTGTGTTGGCTGCAATTAACCTGGTTAATGTCAAATACTAAAACTGTTTATAATCAATTTCAAGAACAAAACACAATATTTAGCATCAATTTTAAGAGCAAAATTAATAATATTAGTAAAAATACTATCACGAAAGTTTGCATATATTGCATTAATGCACAAATGTGAGTGCTCACCAGGTGCCAGACATTATGCTGTATATGCTGATGCTCATCTAATTTAAATTACAGTTATAATTATCCTGTTGTATCGATGTTGTTTTTTCTCACTTTAAAGTTGAGGAAGTGAGGTCTTATTTTAAGCCTTACTTAGAACGGATTGACTTAGGAATTTTTGAGTTTACAATGGTGGGAAAGCAATACACATTCAATAGAAACTATACTTTGAATTTTGATCTTTTCCCAGT
Source organism: Homo sapiens (assembly GCF_000001405.40). Classification (NCBI taxonomy): domain Eukaryota; kingdom Metazoa; phylum Chordata; class Mammalia; order Primates; family Hominidae; genus Homo; species Homo sapiens. The sequence goes on from NC_000024.10 coordinate 3,423,586, forward strand.
CTAGCAATATGCAGCATCATACTCTATTGTGATACTGGGCAGGGGCTGAGAGCCACAGTTCCCAGATAGCCATGTGATCATCAGGTTAAATAACCGCTACAGTATACTCTGTTGCCAGTGGTTTTGGGATATTGTGTTTTGTGTTTTTGCATCCCATCATGTGTACAAAATGTCCATCTGTGTCTCATGCTTTTCCTGGTGAGAAGAAGAAGAAGGCAATTACTCTTGAGGTGAAACAATGTAATTGCTCAGCACAAAGTGGGCAAGCCAGTAATGGCCATTGCACATGAGTTAGGACTTCCACAATCCACAATCCTGATTATCTTATCTTGTAAGTCAATGCCTTTTGACTTAAAATATTTTAATTTAGGATGGGTTTATTGGAATGTAATCCCATCATAATTCGAAAAACCTCTGTAGTTGAAAACATTACAATTTAATCTTAGATATGTCTAATTTAGAGCTAGATCGCTTTACCACAAGAATGTGTTCACATTAATGGAAATATTTTCCTTTGATTTTTAATTTTGTTAAAAATAAATAAATCAAAAGTTATTTCTGTACATATCAAGAACTTTCCATGTCTATGTGCCTTGATTAGTTTGACCACTTGCTCAAGAAAATAGCATATATGTCAGTTAAATAATACCTCCCACAAAATTTCATTTCTTTAAAAAATATATAGAATCTCTTTGGATTGGTTGAGATTGCAAAAACATTTTGAGAAAGTTCCATATTTTCTAAGTCATTTATAATAGTGTCCTGCAATTTTGTTTTCTGCCACAAATTGATCAGGGCCACACTGTACAAACTCAAGTAACAGTTACCACTCAAAAAAATAAATCCACATTGGCAGGTGATTTTGTTTTGTCTTTTTAACAATTGTAATAGAAATTTTATCAATAGGTTTTAAAAATTACCTCCCTTAAATGCTAAATGTTCAAAAATATCAGTGTTCCACATGCTGATTTATGCTAGCAAAAATATTGCTGTCCATCTTGATTAACTAGTTTAGAACTGCATTTTGGAAAACATTAGTCACTAGCTACATGTGGCTATTGAGAACTTGCAAGGTTGGTAATCCAAATAAGGATGTGCTGTAATTGTAAAATACCAGATTTTAACAATTTAGGATGTAAAAACTTAAAATTTCTTACTAATATTTTCATAATTATTACTTACTAAATGATAATATCATAAACATATTGGGTTAACAAAAACATATTAATACAATTTTTACTTTTCTCCTTTACATAGTTAAATGTAACTACTAGAAAATCTAAAACTGTCATATTTCCATTGGACAGCATTTGTTTGAGTGTTGAAATTATTGAATAATCTCATATTATGATTCTGAAATATAGATGTACTTTTTCTTACCTTCTATTTCTTGAATCGTAGATGTAAAAAAATTTTTATGCTTAAAATTTGAATATGTGGTTTTTAGTTATTGATTAATCTATATGGGTCAAGAAAAGCTGAAGGCATTTTGGTTTAAAATATAAACTTTTGACAATTTGGTGATTGCTTGTAATTGGTCTACCTCAATGTGTTTGTATGCATATGTACACAATGCACAGCTTAACTGTTCAATTTAGTCAGTTTTTAATATAATACTTAGTTTCATTAAGAAGGAAGTATTTCAAGTTGCTCATTGCTGTTCAGAAATGTTAGTCTATCACTAATATAAATATTTTACACATATGGACTACAACACTTTAGATAAACATTCATTACAAATTAATTGAAATGATTTTGGGTGTTTTACTATTAGTCATTGATAGAATAAAATAAACAATGTATTTCTCAAAAACAATCTGAGTACTATCTGGAAGTAGTGACAGTCATACATTTAGTGGTTTCAATTTCCTTTCAAAATTATTCAGAAAAAATCACTTATACAATTGCCTAAAAAAAACTAAAATTAAAAAAGGAAAAGAAAATATTGGGAAGATCTGTCTATATTAATTCTGTGACTCTCAAATTTTATGAAGCCATAGAATAGATTCATTTGAAAAGCATATTTTTGAGCTGCTTTTAGACTTTAAGTAAGAATATCTCAATATTAATATATGGGATGCATTGAAAATTTCAGAAAAATTACAATGAATAAGTGAGATGGAAGTCAATGATGGCTTTAAATACATAAGAAATACAATTGCAACAGATTACTTTAGAAAATATTTTATTTCAGCCTAAACACTTATATGAAAACCCTACAAAACAGACCAAAAAGGGGAAGCTACCTATATTACTGAGACAAATATCATGTATGTTTTTATATGTGCTCTGAAGAGGATCCTTATTGCCTGTCACTGCTTGACTGAGGCTGCTGAAAATCAAATACAAAACCTCATCCTTTGAGTGTGTGAATTACAATACAGGTTGAACTCAAAGCCTCACAGCATGTCTACTGTTAAAGTAAAGTGAGGGCTTAGATTAGGAAAGAATGGGACATTGAATGTTAGAATGGTGGAGTGTGAAAAGACCCTGATAAAGCTGGGGAGATGAGGCCCTCAATTTTGATGAGTCTTCTTTGCCAGTGGAAGAGACTTTCTGACACCATTGGAAGCAGCCACCTCAGCCTCAGTAGTAGTGGCTTCCTCACCCCAAGTGGTAGTGGCCTTTACACCCCTTTCTAAGGGATTTAATCCTGCATTGCCTGAGGAAATTATAATGGACTCTCTGTAATCAGTGCCGTGTAACACAATGTTGATTCTTCTCAGAACTCATTCCACCACCCTTACCTGCTTCTAGATTTATAACCAGACTCCAGTCCCGGCAGGCCCCAAAAAGTGAGACACAAAGTGTGACCTTGGAGGAAGTACACTACATTTCAGAAAACTTACTTGAATTTTCCAATTTATATAGACATAAATACAAGGAATATGTGTGGAAATGGATATTAAAGGTGTGGGATAATGGAGGAAGAAATATAAAGTTTGAACAGACTAAATTTATTGATATGGGCTCATTAAGTAGAGATTCCACATTTAATGCTGTGAATCAGAGAGTTATAAAGTACTTTCACAGTTTATTTGGTTGGTTGACTGAAGCATGAACCAAAAGATAGCCTACAGTGAGTGAACTGGAAATTCCCAACCTGCCTAAGTTAAATATAGATAAAGTGGTTGAAAAGCTTAGGCATATTGCAGAGTAGGCCTTTATTCATAAAATTAAGACTTAGTTAACATGACCGAGAGTTTCCAGTAGACACATCTCTCACCACTACTGTAAGAAATAGATTTGTGAGAGTAGGCTTGGAATTTTTGAGCAGCTCTGTGTTCACTTTTCTCTGTAGGCCAGACCTTATCGTGGGGACTGCAGTCCCCGAATTGGGAAAACTAAATGCAATGGCAGTAATTAGATCTCTGGGTGGCAGGGATCACATGACAGCACTCAGCTACTAAAGGCAGTGGGGTTATGTTTCTCATAATGGATAGCAGAGTCAAAGCAGTAATCAAAAGAATCTGACTCATAGACCTATGGTGTTGGCTAGTTGATCATGGTGTTGCCAGAAGTGAAATAGACAGGAAGTCTGCTACATTCTTATTTAATCTGCATAAGCAGAAAATACTACTCAAGTGAGAAAAAGTCTAACTTGAATTAAGAAAAAAACAGAGTCAACCCCTTTAATTAATCCCCAGACTTGATCCAATTCACAGACTCAGAACCCTTGAATAAAAGGGAGACTGTGACTTCTCCAGGAAGGACTCGCGTACACTGTCAAAAATTTATACTGTTTATCTCCCCACCGGCATTTTTGAAAGGATCCTAAAGACTTACCAGAATGCTATGGTTTGAATGTGTCCCCTCTAAAAATCAGGTTTGGGCAATTATTAAGTAGTGAGACCTTTAAGAGATCACTAGGCCACGAAGGCTGCTCTTTTTCTCATTAACGACATTAAGGTCCTTGTAAAAGAGGCTTCACAAAGCATTCGGCTAGTGTGCTCTTCTGCCTTTTACTATGTGAAGTCACAGCAAGAAGCCCCTCAACAGACCAAATGCTGGTGCCTTGATTTTGAACTTCCCAGCATTCAGAACCATGAGAAAAAGTTTCTGATCTTCATGAATTACCTAGTCTCAGGTATAATATTGTAACAGCACAAAATTTACTGAGAAAGAAATTGGTACTATAGGAGTAGGACATTCCTAAAACAAATACCTCATTTATGCTGATGTGATTATTATGCATTGTATGCCTGTATCAAACTATCTTATGCACCCCATAAATATATACATAAATATATATACCTACTATGTACCTACAATTTTTTTAAAAAAAAAACATGTGGAAGCAGGTTGGGAATAAAGTAACGGACAGAGTCTGTAACAGTATTGAAGTGAAGACTTAGAAAAGTTTGTATTGCTATAAATGAAGTACTAAGGGTGATTCTGTTAAGGCCTTGTATTAGTCCATTCTCATACTGCTAATAAAGATGTACCGAAGACTGGGTAGTTTATCAAGAAAAGAGGTTTAATTGACTCATAGTTTCACATGGCTGGGGGGCCTCAGGAAACTTACAATCATGGCAGAAGGTACCTCTTTACAAGGTGGCAGGAGAGAGAATCAGTGCTGAGCTAAGGGGAAAGCTCCTTATAAAACCATCAGATATGATGAGAACTCACTATCACGAGAACAGCATGAGGGAAGCCGCCCCCATGATTCAATTATCTCCATCTGGTCCTGCTCTTGACATGTGGGGATTATAACAATTCACGGTGAAATTTGTGTGGGGACACAGAGCCAAATGATATAATTCCATCCCTGGCCCCTCCCAAATCTTGTGTCTTCACTTTTCAAAACAAAATCATGCCCTTCCAACCGTCCCCCAGTGGACTTGTGATGATCAATCTTATGTGTCAACTTGACCACAAGGTGGCAGATATTAGATTCAACATTATTCTGCATGTGTCAGTGAGGGTGTTTCTGGATGAGATCAGCATTAGAATGGTAGACTGAGTAAAACGGGTTGCCTTTCCCAGTGTAGGCAGGTTGCATCCAATCTGTTGAAGGCTTGAATGGATCAAAATGATTAAGAGAGAAATTAGTTTCTCTGCCTGTCTTTCATCTGAGATTTTCTTCTCCTGCCTTCATACTCAGACTTGAAGTGGAACTTATGTTACTTGTTTTCTTGGTTCTCAGGACTTCAGACTCAGACTGAAGCTATACCATCAGCTTCCCTTGGTACGTAGCTTGCTGACTGCAGACCTTGGGATTTATCCAATTAGTAGCAACATGAGATAATTCCTAATAACAAACTCTCTCTCTCTCTCTCTCTCTCTCATTCGGACTAAACTCTCCAATCAAAAGACCTAGACTGGCTGAATGGATGAAAAAACAAAACCCACTAATCTGTTGCATACAAGAAAAATACTTCACCTATAAAGACACACATAGACTGAAAGTAAAGGGATGGGAAAAACATTATATGCCAATGGAAAACTGAAAAAAGCAATAGTCGCTATACTTATATCAGACAAAATAGTTTTCAAGACAAAAACTATAAGAAGGGACAAAGCAGCTAACTGTACAATTTATACAGTTTATAGTATAGGGGTCAATTCAGCAAGAGAATATAACAATTTTAAATATATATGCACCCAACATTATAGCACCCAGCTATCAAAGGAAATATTATTAGAGCTAAAGAGAGAAATAGGCCGGAATACAATAATAGTTGGAGACTTCAACAACCCACTTTTAGGATTGGACAGATCTGCCAGACAGAGAATACACAAAGAAACAAACATTAACAAAGACTTAATCTGCACTATAGACCAAATGGATTTAACAGATATTTACAGAGTATTTTATTGAAGAGCTTCAGAATACACATTCTTTTTCTCAGCACATGGATCATTCTCAAGAATAGACCATATGTTAGGTCAAAAAACAAGTCTTAAAATGTTAAAAAATTGAAATAATATCAAATATCTTCCCTAACCACAATAGAAAAAAGCTAGAAATTAATAACAGGATGGACGTTTAAAACTATACAATTACCTGGAAATTAAACAATATTCTCCTGAATGACCAGTGGGACAATGAAGAAATTAAGAAGAAAATTTGAAATGTTTTAAAACAAATGATAATAAAAACACAACATACCAACTTTTATGGGACACAGCAAAAGCAGTACTCAGAGGGAAGTTTATAGCTATAAGTGCTTACATCAAAACAAAGAAAAAACTTCAAATAAACAATCTAACAATACATCTTAAAGAACTAGAAAAGCAAGAGCAAGTCATACTTAAAATTAGTAAAAGAAAATAATAAAGATCAAAGCAAAAATAAATAAAATTATAATGAAGAAAACAATACAAAAGACTAATGAAAGAAAAAGTTGTTTTTTAAAAAAAGTTAAACAAAACTGACAAATCTTTAGCCAGGCTAAGAAAAAAGTGAGAAGATCCATATAACATCAGAAATGAAAACAGAGACATTGCAACTAATACAACAGAAATTCAAAGGATCATAACTGGCTACTAAGAGCAACTATATGCCAATAAAGTGGATAATCTAGAAGAAAATACATAAATTCCTAGATACATACAACCTAAAAAAATTGAACTGGGAAAAAACCTAAAACCTGAACAGACCAATATCAAGTAATCAGATTAAAGTCATAATAAAAATTCTTCCGTAAATAAATACTCAGGACCTGATGGCTTTACTGCTGGATTATACCAAACACTTAAACAATACCAATCCTACTGAAACTCTTCTGAAAAATAGAAAAGGAGGGAATACTTTCAAACCCATTCTACAAGGTCAGTATTACCCTGATACCAAAACTTGTCAAAGACACATCAAAAAGAGGAAACTACAGCCCAATATATATGATGAATATTAATGCAGACATTCTCAGCAAAATACTAGCAAACTGAATTCAACAATGCATTAGAAATATTATTTATCATGACCAAGTGAAATTTATCACTGGGATGCCAGGATGGTTCAGCATATGCAAATCAATCAATATGATACATCATATCAGCAGAATAAAGGATAAAATTCATATGATAATTTCAACTGATGTTGAAAAGGCATTTCACAGAATTCAACATATCTTCATGATAAAAACCTTCTTAAAACAGGATGGAAAGAACATACCTCAACACAATAAAATATATGACAGACCCACAGGTAGTATCATACTGAATGGAGAAATACATAAAGCCCTTCCTTTAAGATGTGGGACACGACAAGGAAGCCCACTGTCACCACAGTTACTCAAGATAATATTGGAAGTTTTAGCTAGAGCAAGTAGACAAGAGAAAGATATAAAGGACACACAAATTAGAAATGAAGAAATTCAATTATCCTTGTTTTAAGATGATATAATCCTATACTTGAAAAAAAAAAACCTAAAGACTCCACAGGAAAACTATTAGAACTGATAAACAAATTTAGTAAAGTTCAAGGACACAAAATCAACATAAAAAATAAGTAGAATTTCTTTATTCCAATAATGAACAATGTAAAAAAGTAATCCCCATACACTATTTACAATAGCCACACATAAAATTAAATACCTAGAAATTAAACAAAGAAGTGAAAAATCTCTATAACAAAAACTATAAAATATTGATGAAAGAAATTAAAGAAGACACCAAACAATAGAAAAATATTACATGTTCATGGATTGAAATAATCCATACTGTTAACATGTCCATACAACCCCCCAAAATCTACAGGTTCATTGCAATCTGTATGAAAATACCAATGACATTCTTCACAAAAAAAAATCTTAAAATTTATATGGAACTACAGATGACCCAAAATATCCACAGCTATCCTAAGCAAAAAGAACAAAATCAGAGGAATCACATTACCTGACTTCAAATTATACTACAGAGCTATAGTAACCAAAACAGCCTGAAACTGGCATAAAAACAGACACAGAGTCTAATGGAACAGAATCGAGAACCAGAAACAAATACACACACCTACAGTAAACTCATTTTAGAAAAAATTTTCAAGAACATACACTGGGGAAAGGACAGTTTCCTCAATAAACGGTTTTGGGAAAAGTGGATAATCACATGCAGAAGAATGAAACCAGACCCCCATTTATACAAAAATCAAATAAAAGTGGATGAAAGACTTAAATCAAAAACCTCAAACTATAAAACCTACTACAAGAAAACATTGGGAAAAATCTCCTGGACGTTTTTTCTGGGCAAATACTTATTGAGCAATACCTCACAAGCACAGGCAACCAAAGCAGAAACAGCAAATGAGATCACATCAACTTAAGCTTCTGCACAGCAAAGGTTCCAATAAACAAGTGAAGAGACAACTCACAGAATGGGAGAAAATATTTGCAAACTACCCATCTGTCATGAGATTAAAAACTGAAATATATAGGAAGCTGAAACAACTCTATAAGAAAAAGTCTAATAATCTGATCAAAAATTGGCAAAAGATTTGAAGATACATTTCTCAAAAGAAAACATAACATTTGCAAAACAGGCATATAAAAAGGTACTCAGCATCATTGATCATTCTAGAAATACAAGTCAAAACTACTATGGGATATTATCTCACTCCAATTAAAATGGCTTATATTTAAAAGACAGGCAATAACAAATGTTGGCGAGGATGTGGAGAAGAAACCCTCCCACGCTGTTGGTTGGAGTTTAATCTAGTACAACCACTGTGGAGAACAGTTTGGAGGTCCCTCAAAAAAACTAAAAATTCAGCAACTCCTCTGCTGGGTATATACACAAAAGAAAGAAAATCAGTATATCAAAGAGATATCTGTATTTCTGTGTTTGTTGCAGCACTGTTTACATTAGCTAAGTTTTGGAAGCAACCTAATTGTCCACCAACAGAAGAATGGATAAAGAAAATGTTGTACTTAGGCACTATGGAGTACTCTTCAGCCATAAAAGGAATGAGATCCAGGCATTTGCAACAACATGGATGGAACTGGAGATCATTGTGCTATGTAAAATAAGCCAGACACAGAAAGACATCACATGTTCTCACTTATTTGAGGATCTAAAAATCAAAACATTTGAATTCATGGAGATAGAGAGTAGAAGTATGGTTACAAGAGGCTGAGAAGGGTAGTGGGGGTTGTTGGGGGAGGTGGGGATGGTTAACGGGTACAAAAAAAAGTTACAAAGAATGAATAAGCCCTATTATTTGATAGCACAATAGGGTGACCATAGTCAATAATAACTTAATTGTATGTTTTAAAATAACTTAATTAGTGTAATTTGATTGTTTTTAACTCGAATGACAAATGCTTGAGGAGATGGATACTCCATTCTCCATGATGTGATTATTTGACATTGCATGCCCGTATCAAAACATTGCATTTACACCATAAATATATACAGATACTATGTAGCAAAAAAAAAAAAGAAAATATTAAACTCTAATTACTAGATTTATTTTCTAAAACTTGTGTTAGCATTTCTGAAAATAACTTTCTTTTTGTAAATTATAGGACTAACTAAATAAGTAAATATATTTGGTTAATTGTAGCCAGGTTTTACATTGTTGTACAAGGGGCTTCTCTATCAACACATAAAGAAACAAATTGTAGAATTGGTTCTGCTGAGTGGAATTGGAGTTACCTACTATTGGTTCCTCCTGAGTTTATATATATATATATACACACACACACACACACACACACACACACAGAAATAATATAAATAGTGCATGTTTGCATAAATAAATGCATACATACAGGTATGTATATTTGGATATAGTGTGACTCAACTGTGTTTTTTGCTTGGGATCTCACAAGGCTGCAGCTCTTTTCTTGAGACTCAGGGAGCAAAAAAAAAAAAGAAAAGAAACACTTCCAGCTTCATTCAAATTTGTAATAGAAATTTGCTTCTTGTGACTGTAGGAGTAAAGCCATTCTCCTCTCCTCTCCTCTCCTCTCCTTTCCTTCTTTCTTTTCTATTATTTTCTTCCTGGCAAATGACTCCCTTTATTTTCAAGGTAACAATGGATGCCAAAAACTTCTCATGATTTGAATCATTCTGATTTCCTCTTCTACATCTCTGTAATTAGAGTGGGAAAAATTTTCTCCTTTTAAGGACTCATCTTAAGATAGATGCAGTGAACCAAGGTCGTGCCATTGCACTCCAGTCTGGACAACAGAGCGAGACTCCATTTAAAAAAAATGACTTTACCTATTGTTAACCATTTATCAATAGTAATTAGCACAATAATCCTACTTCTAAGAATTAACCTTTAGAAATAAACGGAGCTAGAGATAAAAGCTTTATTTTTAGAATTTTTTTGTCAGTGTTAATTTTAAAAGAAAAATTAGAAGCAACCTAAAACTACAAAATTCAAAAATAGGTAAAAAGTGAAACAAACTGTAGTATCCATTTTAAAAAAAAGAAAGTTGGTCATAATATATCAGTCAATAGAAAATGAGAAATTTTTATGTTGGGTTTTTTTTTGTTAATTTATCTAAGAGTTGAGTTGGGTGTAATGTTGGCTGTACCTGTAGATGCCAGATGTTCCAATTTTCTCTAGTGAGTTTTTTTTATTCCTATTGTCTTTACATTTACCTAGAAACTACTTATTAAATATAGTCTGCACAGTACTGCTTTCTCAGCTAAAATCTCCTGTTGATATACTAAGGATTTATTGATGTACCAGTAAAGGGAAGTAATGCATTTTATAATGTTATGATTAATTCTCCAGCTTGTAGTGGTTGTTTCCCCTTGATATGTTCTTTACACGTTTTTTTCTTAGCTATTCCCACACTTAGATGAGACAGGAAGGCTAAAAAGACTGGAGTTGAGTAAGTGTCCTTAACCCGTGTGTTTGTTATAAGGCTTTGGTAAACTCCTTTCCCCTGGAGTATAGGGATTTGATATGGAAATACAGATAGCTTTTACTTCTACCTTTCAAAATTGGACGTATTTTATACATTTGTCTTCCTATTATACTAGTTATTTCCACCAGTGCAACGTTGAATAAAAGAGGTAAGGTAAAATATCTTTACCTTGTTCCTGGTCCTAGAAGAGGGAGGAAGCATTCAATTTTTACTATTAATTATGATGTCAGCTATACCTTTTTGAATGCATCTATTTTAAGATTAAGAAACTTTTCATCTCCTTTCAGGTTTTGAGGTGCTTTAACAAGAATAGATGCTGGATTATTCTTCAATTTGTGTGTGTGTGTATATTCAATGTATTATGTGATGTTTCTGTTTGGTTTATTTATATGGTAAAAAATTTTGAAAGATTTTTGAATGTTAAGCAAATCTTGTATTTTTTGTGAAATCATTCTTTTATTTATTTATTTATTTATTTATTTATTTATTTATTTATTTATTTGAGACAGAGTCTCACTCTGTTGCCCAGGCTGGAGTGCAGTGGTGTGATCTCAGCTCACTGCAAGCTCCGCCTCCCAGATTCACTCCATTCTCCTGCCTCAACCTCCCGAGTAGCTGGGACCATAGGCTCCCGCCACCACGCCCAGCTAATTTTTTGCATTTTTAGTAGAGACAGAGTTTCACCGTGTTAGCCAGGATGGTCTCAATGTCCTGACCTTGTGATACGCCCGCCTCGGCCTCCCAAAGTGCTGGGATTACAGGCGTGAGGCACTGCGCCCGGCCGTGAAATCATTCTTGACCATGATGTATTATCATCATATTATTATTTAACATTGTGTTACAGTCAATTTTCTAAAATTTATTTTAGAATCATTTAATATATTTATGAGAAATATTGGTCTGTAGTTTTCTGTGTTAGATCTCTATCTGTCTATCTATCTATCTATCATCTATCTGGTTTTGGTGTTGTCATAATGCTGGTTAATAGAATGAGTGGGGAAGTGTCCCCTTCTTTTCAATTTTTTTTTTAAATTTTACTTTTATTTTAACTTCAGGGGTACAAGTGCAGGAGTGTTACATAGGTAAACCTGTGTCATGGGGGGTTGTTATGCAGATTGTTTTATCACCCAGGCAATAAGCATACTACCCAATGGGTAGTTTTTTGATCCTCAACTTCCTCCTACTCTTCACCCTCAAGTAGACCCCGATGTCCAAAAAATCTAAAAGGAGATAAAAAGTTACCTTCCTTGTGTCCATACATACTCGTTGATTAGATTCCACTTACAAGTGAGAACATGCAGTATTCGATTTTCTGTTCCTGTGTTAGTTTGTTAAGAATAATGGTGTCCAGCTCCATCCATGTTCCTGCAAAAGAAATGATCTTACTCTTGCTAATGGTTGCATAGTATTCATTGGTGTATATGTATCACATTTTCTTTATCCATTCGATCACTGATGAACATTTAGGTTGATTCCATGTCTTTGCTATTGTGAATAGTGCTGTGATAAACACATGTGAACATGTGTTCGGTATAATTTATTATTAAATTTTGGTAGAATTCCTCATTTAAAGCACTTAGGGCTGAAAATTTGTTTTAGGGAGATCCTTATTCTATCACATTTACTTAATGTACATACATCTATTCATTTTATTCATTTTTTTGTATGAGCTCAAACAATTTGTGTCTTTCAAGGAAGTTGGCTCTTTAATGTTATTTGCTAAATTTTAGGTATAAACTTTCTATTATCTTTTTCATTTTATCTGTAGAATATATAAAGAAATTACTGTCATTTATCATTATTCAAATTGGTAATTTGTGTCTTTGTTTTTCTTTGTTTTCCTCCCTGCTATTTTACTGATATCCTCTCTGATGTGTATTATTTCCTATGTTCTGTTTACTTTTTAACTTGCTTTTCCTTTTCCATTTTCTTTTTTATTTTATGATATAGTTTTGCACTGTATAACAACATATTGGTCAATTATGGACCACATATGCAACAGTGGTACCAAAATATTATGTATAATGGAGCTAAAAATTTTCTATCACCTTGTGATGTCATAGCCATCATAACGTTATAGTGAAATTGCTTTAGTTTTTAAAACAAATGTAGTGTAGCCTAAGAGTACAATGTCTATAATATCTACCATAGTATATAGTGATGTGCTAGGCCTTCACATTCACTCACCACTCATTCTCTGACTAAGCCAGAGCAACTTTCTGCGAGTTCCATTCAGGGTAAGTGCCCTACAAAGGTGTACCATTTTTATACACTTTTATACCATAATATAGTGTACTGTTTCCATGTTTAGATATGTTTAGCTAGACAAATACCATTGTGTTCCAGTTACCTACAGTATTCAGTACTGTCACATGCTGTACAGGTTTGTAGCCTAGAGAAAATGAGCTATGCTGTATATCCTAGGTATATAGTAGGTTTGTGTGAGTATATTCTATGAGGTTTGCACAAGGACAAAATCACTTATATATGTTAGTCTTTCCAATACCATGTAATTCTGTAAGACTTTTCATACTTACACCACTGTCCAGATTCTTCAACAGTTTGACTTTCTGTGCTATAAGTGAACATAAATATTTTTTTCCTTATCACTGTTACTCATAGAGAAATCTGCAGGCCTTTTACATATTCAACAATATCATTACATCACAGAGCAAATAATAAGCAACAGACATAGTAAGTAACACATGTAGGTTTGGTCCCATCTGAAGCATAGTGGGGAACCGGCTGTTAGCACATCTGGCCTGTACACATGCAATTTTATGATCATTGGTGGGAATGCTTGAAAAAGATATGTTGCAGCTGAAGTGGGCTGGAAAAGTCTTTTCCCTCAAAGATGCTAAATGACCTATGTGTTATGCATCTGAATTTTTACTGCAATCTGTCACATAAGGTCAAGTGTGAAATTTTCCACTTGTAGCATCATGCCAGTGCCCAATTTTAGATTTTGGAAAATTTTTGGTTTTAGATTTTTAGATTAGGGATGCTCGACATGCAAAAGAAAACATAGGAAAAAACTTCTTCACTTTGGTCTTGGCAATGATATTTTGGATATGAACTTAAAAGTACAAGCAACAAAAGCAAATGCAGAAAAATGGGATTGCATCAAACTAAACACTTCTGCAAAGCCTGGTTAAAACTCAACTGAGTGAGGTGAAAAAACAGCCTATGAAATGGGAGAAAATATTTACAAACCAAACCTTATCCTTTAGATAAGGAGTTAATATTTAAAATAAATAAGGTCCCTTAATAGCAAGAAAAAATACCTGATAAAAAATGGATTAAATGTGTGAATATACATTTCTCCAAAGATGACGGGCATATGGTGAGCAGATATATGAGATGTTGAATAGAATCTCAGGGAAATACAAAGTAAAACCATGATGAGACATCACATCGCACTTCGTTGAATGGCTATTCAGAGATACAAAACTTAACAAGTATTGGCAAGGAAGTAGAGAAAATATATTTCCTATATACTGTTGTTGGGAATGTAAAATGGTGTATTTGTGTTGGAAAATAGTGTGAAGGTTTCTCAAAAAATTTAAAATAGAACTAATGTATAATGCAGCAATTCCACTTTTGTGTATATATCCAAAGAAAATGAAGTCACATGTTGAAAATATATCTGCATTCCAGTTTTTATTGCACTATTATTTATAATAGCCAAACTATGAAATCAAACTATCCGTCAAAGATAAATTGATAAGGAAAATGTGATATATACATGTGTGTCTGTGTGTGTATATGTATATATATATATATATATACATATACACACACACCTATATATATACACATATATATACAAACGCACAATGAAATACTATTCAGCCTTAAAAATGAAAAAAATCTTTCATTTGCAACAATATGAATAAATGTGGAGGACATTATGTCAAGTACAATAAGCCAGGCACAGAAAGACAGATACTGTATGATCCCACTGATATGTGGAATTCAAAAATATTGAACTCACAGAAGCAGCTTAGTGGTTACCAGGGACTGGGGATGGGGTCGGGAGATGATGGCAAAGGGTACAAAGTTTCAGCAAGAGAGGAGGAATAACTTCTGAAGTTCTATAGTACAGCCTGGTGACTATAGTTAATAATAATGTATTGTGTACTTGAAAATCGCTAAAAGGCTAGATTTTAAATGTTCCCAGTATAAAACACAATGAATATGACAGTGTATAGTTACATTAATTAGCTCGATTTAATATTTCACAATGTATGTATGTCAAAATATCACACCAGACACCATAAATATATACAATATTATTTGTTGAATAGAAAATAAATTAAAATTATATATTTTAGTTCATGTGTGGAATGTGTCCTAAGGATGCACTCAGACATATATGTATCATATGAGAATGCAATAATATTTGATCATCATTGCTTATGTTGCTGAAAGGCAGGAAAAAGGCTAAGTATCTCATAATGGGAAGATTATTAATCAATTTTGGCAAATGCATATGGTAAGATACAGTGCACCTATTTTTAAAAGTGCATAATTTTAGGTTTTGTTTTATTCTGAAATGGAAATATATCCAAAATAAGCTTTTAGGCAAAAATAAAAGTTATAAAAACAATTGGTAGTACAAATAGTGTGAATTATATAAAGAGAAACTATTAGGCCTAATAATTTAAAATGTCTGTGGATCATAATCATGATGAATGATGCTGGTAATCTTGATACTATGTTATAAACATTAGTTTTAATTATTGATGGTGATGTTTTTCAGGAAGATTATAGATAAAATGGTGAATGGATTATCCCATATTCTAAACTCAATAAAAACTATGTACTCCAAATAAAGCATTTTATTATCATATCAATGAATTGTAGGTTTGTCTGAACTGAAAAATAAATGGACAGTGAGAATTGCTACTCACAGGTTACCAGAACATGTTTCAATCTAATTGAGACACTTTAATGAATGCAATACAATTTTCAGCTATGACTTTAATTTATTTATCAATTAGTCCCAAAATGTACATTTTCCCTAATTATTGGTAGCAGCAAATAAGCCAGATAGCTAGAAATGCTTCTTGGAAAATAAATACATTTAAATTTTCCCAACCTTGAATTTACAAATAATTGAAACAGGATGGCTAATAGTGATTAGCCCTTAGATACGCATATTTTTTTTCTGTAGTCTTAACATTTATATCTTCATATACCTCAAAAAGCTATTTTAATGCATGCATTAGTCTATTCTCATGCTTCTATAAAGAAATACCCAAGACTGGGTAATTTATAAAGGAAAGAGGTTTAACTGACTCAGTTCTGCATTGCAGGGGAGGCCTCAGGAAACTTACCATCATGACAGAAGGCAAAGTAGAAGCAAGTACCTTCTTCCCAAGGCGGCAGGAGAGAGCACAGTGTGCAGGGGAACCTGCCATTTATAAAACCATCAGGTCTCATGAGAACTCACTCACTGTCATGAAAACAGCATGGGGGAAACTGCTCCCATGATCCAATAACCTCCTACCAGGTCCCCTCCTTGACAGGTGGGGATTACAATTTGACATGAGATTTGGGTGGGGACACAGAGCCAAACCATATAATTGTGCCCGTGGCCCCTCCCTCATCTCATGTTCTTTTTATATTTCAAAACCAATTATGCCTTTCCAATAGTCCCCCAAAGTCTTAATTCATTCCAGCATTAACTCAAAAGTCCAAGTCCAAAGTCTCATCTTAGACAAGGCAAATCTCTTCAACCTATACACCTGTAAAATCAAAAGCAAGTTAGTTACTTCCAAGATACAATGAGGGTACAGTCATTGGGTAAATGTTAGCAGTTCAAATGGGAGAAATTAGCCAAAACAAAGCAAAGGGGCTACAGGCCCCGTGCAAGTCCAAAACCTGCCCAGGCAGTCATAAATTTTAAAGCTCCAAAATCTACTTTGACTCCATGTCTTATATCCAGGGCAGGCTGATGCAAGGGGTGGGCTCCCAAGGCCTTGGGCAGCTCTGCTTCTGTGGCTCTGCAGGGTTCAGCACTTGCAGCTGGTTTCATAGGCTGGTATTGAGTACCTGTGGTTTTTCTAGGGCACAGTGCAAGCTATCAGTGGATCTATATTTCTGGGGTCTGGAGGACAGTGGCCCTCTTCTCACAGATCCACTAGGCAGTGCCCCAGTGGGGATTCTGTGTGGGGACTCCAACCCCACATTTCTTTTCTGCATTGCCCTAGCAGAGTTTCTCCCTGATGGCTCTATCCCTGAAGCCGACTTCTGCCTGGACATCCAGTCATTTCCATACATCCTCTGAAATCTAGGCAGAGGTTCCCAAAGCTCAACTCTTTACTTCTGTATACCCACAGGCCCAACACCCCATAGAAACTGCCAATGCTTGGGGCTTGCACCCTCTGAAGCAATGGCCTGAGCTGCATGTGGGCCCCTTTTAGCCAAAGCTAAAGCTGGAGCAGTTCGGACGCAGGGCAGTCCTGAGGCTGCACAGAGCAGCTGGGCCCTGGGTCAGCCTCAGAAAACCATTTTTCCCTCCTAGGCTTTTGGGTCTGTAATGAGAAGGGCTGCCATGAAGATCTCTGACATGTCCTGGAGACATTTTTCCCATTGTCTTGGCTGCTAACATTTGGCTCCTTGTTACTTATACAAATATCTGCAGCTGGCTTGAATTCCTCCCCAGAAAGTGGGTTTTTCTTTTCTACCACATGATCAGGCTGCAAATTTTCCAAACTTTCACACTCTGCTTCCTCTTTAAACATAAGTTCCAATTTCAAACCATCTCTTCATGAGCATATATAACTGAACATTTTCAGAATCAACCAGGTCACCCCTTGAAAGCTTTGCTACTTAGAAATTTCTTCTGGAAGATACCCTAAATTATCTCTCTCAAGTTCAAAGTTCCACATATCTCTAGGCCAGGGCCAAAATGCATTCAGTCTCTCTGCTAAAGGACAGCAAAAGTGACATTTGCTCCAGTTCCCAACAAGTTTCTCATCTCCATCTGAGACCACATTAGACTGGACTTCATTGTCCTTATCACTATCAGCATTTGGGTCAAAACCAACAAGTCTCTAGCGAGTTCCAAACTTTCCCACTTCTCCCTGTCTTCTTCTGAGCCCTCCAAACTGTGCCAACCTCTGCCTGTTACCCAGTTTCAAAGTCACTTCCACATTTTCAGGTTATCTTTATAGCAGTGCCCCACTCTAAGTACCAGAGAAATACTAGAGACTAGGTAATTTATAAAATAAAGGGGCTTAATTGATTCACAGTTCCACATAGGTGTAGTGGCCTCAGGAAACTTACAATAATGGCAGAAGGTAAACGAGAAGCAAGTACCTTCTTCCCAAAGTGGCAGGAGAGCAAGAGAGTGCAGGGAAAATTGCCATTTATAAAACCATCAGATCTCATGAAAACTCACTCACTATCATGATAACAGCATGAAGGAAACTGCCCCCATGATCCAATCACCTCCCACCAGGTGTCTCCCTCGACACATGTGGATTACAATTGGAGATGAGATTTGGGTGGGGACACACAACCAAACCATATCAATGCATCATTATATATGACACTGTTGACTTTTAAAATGATAGAAATTCAACATTATCTCAATTATTGGGTTAGAATGCTATCACCAGGGTATTTTTAAATGACAATTTAAAATAGAACTAGATAAAAAGTAAAACTTCAACAAAACAAGCAAATAATAAAACAAACAAAACCCAGCTCTAGCCAAATACATTTCTTCATTTTTTAATCTGTAGTATTTTTCTGATTTTTATGCAAGAAATGCTAATGGTTTCATGTATTGACAGAAAAATATATCTCAGCATGATTTATGATAGAATAGAATAAATTACAAATTATTTAGACTAAATTTAATACTTGAAGTCATTTTAATATAATGGCTTGTGGGGAACAAACGCATAATGTCATTTTACAGTTTATCACATTATTTAGACTCTTACGTCATTTAATTGATTCAAAAAATTGCAGAAATAACTTCTTTACATTATATTGTAGTTTACTGAGGCTAGACATACATAACATAAAAAATTTGAAAAGTATATAATTAAAGTGAACAGATGGCCCTTTCCAGTAAAAACAACTGGAAATGCAAATCAACTGAAATTTGGGAATAATTGTAGCAGATGGTATAGCCTTTGTACCACTTAGATAATGGCTGCCTTCAGTCTTCCTATTGAGGTTAGTTGAACATGTTGTTTTTCATGTATGCATTTAAATAGAAATACAAAAGAAGAGCAAAATGTACTTTTGTATCACATTAGTAAATAAGGCATTCACCTGTGAAAGTTTCTAGCTGTCCTTATCTCACATCTAATGTGCAGAGTGAATAAGCTGCCCAGTGTCATAAAATTAGGCCTCTTTTAAATGAGTCTTCTACTTGAAAGACAATACAATTGTGTGAGGTCATTCCCAGGAATACAAATGGGGCAAAAATGTGCCAAAGCAATTATTAATATATACTCAATTCTCATATTAAAAATGAATGTCATCTGGTACTCTATCAAAGTAGTATTCTATTTAAAAATTTTCTGAGAAAGAATCTAACATCGCCTGTAACATCATACATTATTGAATAATTTCTTCTTGCATTTTCATGCTAATGTCAATTCATACACCTGAAAATGAAGTCCAATATAATATTAAAGATAAAAAAGGTTAAACAAACTTTTGCTGTTCAGCAACAGAAAAGCAACTTAGAGATTTGAAGCACATGAAGATAAAATGCCATTAATTCATTTAACAAATATTTGAAAATTTAAATCAGGTTTGTGTAATCAGTCTTATGCAACAACTAGAGAAGTGATATATGTGTGATTTAAAAAAAGCTAGATTTGAAAAGGAAAGTTAAAAAAGAAAAACTTTTCAAGGACACAACACCACCCATTGCTCTTATATTACTATTAAAAACTGTAGCTGAAAGGCAACGCTAATGATTGCCTATAGTTGCTGCTGGCCAATATAGCCAGATATATTCTGCATTCTCAGAAACAAAATAACATAAAGCCAGTTCTTTTATTATAAACAATAGATTTTGACATTAGGTTACAAGTTCAGATTACAGGTCAGCAAGTATGACCATATTTGTTCGGAAGAGAGCTAGAAATAATGTTTAAAATAATAAAGAGAGGAGGAGCCAAGATGGCCGAATAGGAACAGCTCCGGTCTACAGCTCCCAGCGTGAGCGACGCAGAAGACGGGTGATTTCTGCATTTCCGTCTGAGGTACCGGGTTCATCTCACTAGGGAGTGCCAGACAGTGGGCGCAGGCCAGTGTGTGTGCGCACCGTGCGCGAGCCGAAGCAGGGCGAGCATTGCCTCACCTGGGAAGCGCAAGGGGTCAGGGAGTTCCCTTTCCGAGTCAAAGAAAGGGGTGACGGACGCACCTGGAAAATCGGGTCACTCCCACCCGAATATTGCGCTTTTCAGACCGGCTTAAGAAACGGCGCACCACGAGACTATATCCCACACCTGGCTCAGAGGGTCCTACGCCCATGGAATCGCACTGATTGCTAGCACAGCAGTCTGAGATCAGACTGCAAGGCGGCAACGAGGCTGGGGGAGGGGCACCCGCCATTGCCCAGGCTTGCTTAGGTAAACAAAGCAGCCGGGAAGCTCGAACTGGGTGGAGCCCACCACAGCTCAAGGAGGCCTGCCTACCTCTGTAGGCTCCACCTCTGGGGGCAGGGCACAGACAAACAAAAAGACAGCAGTAACCTCTGCAGACTTAAGTGTCCCTGTCTGACAGCTTCGAAGAGAGCAGTGGTTCTCCCAGCACGCAGCTGGAGATCTGAGAACGGGCAGACTGCCTCCTCAAGTGGGTCCCTGACCCCTGACCCCCGAGCATCCTAACTGGGAGGCACCCCCCAGCAGGGGCACACTGACACCTCACACAGCAGGGTATTCCAACAGACCTGCAGCTGAGGGTCCTGTCTGTTAGAAGGAAAACTAACAACCAGAAAGGACATCTACACCGAAAACCCATCTGTACATCACCATCATCAAAGACCAAAAGTAGATAAAACCACAAAGATGGGGAAAAAACAGAACAGAAAAACTGGAAACTCTAAAACGCAGAGCGCCTCTCCTCCTCCAAAGGAACGCAGTTCCTCACCAGCAACAGAACAAAGCTGGATGGAGAATGATTTTGACGAGCTGAGAGAAGAAGGCTTCAGACGATCAAATTACTCTGAGCTACGGGAGGACATTCAAACCAAAGGCAAAGAAGTTGAAAACTTTGAAAAAAATTTAGAAGAATGTATAACTAGAATAACCAATACAGAGAAGTGCTTAAAGGAGCTGACGGAGCTGAAAACCAAGGCTCGAGAACTACGTGAAGAATGCAGAAGCCTCAGGAGCTGATGCGATCAACTGGAAGAAAGGGTATCAGCGATGGAAGATGAAATGAATGAAATGAAGCGAGAAGGGAAGTTTAGAGAAAAAAGAATAAAAAGAAATGAGCAAAGCCTCCAAGAAATATGGGACTATGTGAAAAGACCAAATCTACCTCTGATTGGTGTACCTGAAAGTGATGTGGAGAATGGAACCAAGTTGGAAAACACTCTGCAGGATATTATCCAGGAGAACTTCCCCAATCTAGCAAGGCAGGCCAACATTCAAATTCAGGAAATACAGAGAACGCCACAAAGATACTCCTCGAGAAGAGCAACTCCAAGACACATAATTGTCAGATTCACCAAAGTTGAAATGAAGGAAAAAATGTTAAGGGCAGCCAGAGAGAAAGGTCGGGTTACCCTCAAAGGAAAGCCCATCAGACTAACAGCGGATCTCTCGGCAGAAACCCTACAAGCCAGAAGAGAGTGGGGGCCAATATTCAACATTCTTAAAGAAAAGAATTTTCAACCCAGAATTTCATATCCAGCCAAACTAAGCTTCATAAGTGAAGGAGAAATAAAATACTTTATAGACAAGCAAATGCTGAGAGATTTTGTCACCACCAGTCCTGCCCTAAAAGAGCTCCTGAAGGAAGCGCTAAACCTGGAAAGGAACAACCGGTACCAGCCGCTGCAAAATCATGCCAAAATGTAAAGACCATCGAGACTAGGAAGAAACTGCATCAACTAATGAGCAAAATCACCAGCTAACATCATAATGACAGGATCAAATTCACACATAACAATATTAACTTTAAATATAAATGGACTAAATTCTGCAATTAAAAGACACAGACTGGCAAGGTGGATAAAGAGTCAAGACCCATCAGTGTGCTGTATTCAGGAAACCCATCATCTCACGTGCAGAGACACACATAGGCTCAAAATAAAAGGATGGAGGAAGATCTACCAAGCCAATGGAAAACAAAAAAAGGCAGGGGTTGCAATCCTAGTCTCTGATAAAACAGACTTTAAACCAACAAAGATCAAAAGAGACAAAGAAGGCCATTACATAATGGTAAAGGGATCAGTTCAACAAGAGGAGCTAACTATCCTAAATATTTATGCACCCAATACAGGAGCACCCAGATTCATAAAGCAAGTCCTGAGTGACCTACAAGGAGACTTAGACTCCCACACATTAATAATGGGAGACTTTAACACCCCACTGTCAACATTAGACAGATCAACGAGACAGAAAGTCAACAAGGATACCCAGGAATTGAACTCAGCTCTGCACCAAGCAGACCTAATAGACATCTACAGAACTCTCCACCCCAAATCAACAGAATATACATTTTTTTCAGCACCACACCACACCTATTCCAAAATTGACCACATACTGGGAAGTAAAGCTCTCCTCAGCAAATGTAAAAGAACAGAAATTATAACAAACTATCTCTCAGACCACAGTGCAATCAAACTAGAACTCAGGATTAAGAATCTCACTCAAAGCCGCTCAACTACATGGAAACTGAACAACCTGCTCCTGAATGACTACTGGGTACATAACGAAATGAAGGCAGAAATAAAGATGTTCTTTGAAACCAACGAGAACAAAGACACCACATACCAGAATCTCTGGGACGCATTCAAAGCAGTGTGTAGAGGGAAATTTATAGCACTAAATGCCTACAAGAGAAAGCAGGAAAGATCCAAAATTGACAACCTAACATCACAATTAAAAGAACTAGAAAAGCAAGAGCAAACACATTCAAAAGCTAGCAGAAGGCAAGAAATAACTAAAATCAGAGCAGAACTGAAGGAAATAGAGACACAAAAAACCCTTCAAAAAATCAATGAATCCAGGAGCTGGTTTTTTGAAAGGATCAACAAAATTGATAGACCGCTAGCAAGACTAATAAAGAAAAAAAGAGAGAAGAATCAAATAGACACAATAAAAAATGATAAAGGGGATATCACCACCGATCCCACAGAAATACAAACTACCATCAGAGAATACTACAAACACCTCTACGCAAATAAACTAGAAAATCTAGAAGAAATGGATACATTCCTCGACACATACACTCTCCCAAGACTAAACCAGGAAGAAGTTGAATCTCTGAATAGACCAATAACAGGCTCTGAAATTGTGGCAATAATCAATAGTTTACCAACCAAAAAGAGTCCAGGACCAGATGGATTCACAGCCGAATTCTACCAGAGGTACAAGGAGGAACTGGTACCATTCCTTCTGAAACTATTCCAATCAATAGAAAAAGAGGGAATCCTCCCTAACTCATTTTATGAGGCCAGCATCATTCTGATACCAAAGCCGGGCAGAGACACAACCAAAAAAGAGAATTTTAGACCAATATCCTTGATGAACATTGATGCAAAAATCCTCAATAAAATACTGGCAAACCGAATCCAGCAGCACATCAAAAAGCTTATCCACCATGATCAAGTGGGCTTCATCCCTGGGATGCAAGGCTGGTTCAATATACACAAATCAATAAATGTAATCCAGCATATAAACAGAGCCAAAGACAAAAACCACATGATTATCTCAATAGATGCAGAAAAAGCCTTTGAGAAAATTCAACAACCCTTCATGCTAAAAACTCTCAATAAATTAGGTATTGATGGGACGTATTTCAAAATAATAAGAGCTATCTATGACAAACCCACAGCCAATATCATACTGAATGGGCAAAAACTGGAAGCATTCTCTTTGAAAACTGGCACAAGACAGGGATGCCCTCTCTCACTGCTCCTATTCAACATAGTGTTGGAAGTTCTGGCCAGGGCAATCAGGCAGGAGAAGGAAATAATGGGTATTCAATTAGCAAAAGAGGAAGTCAAATTGTCCCTGTTTGCAGACGACATGATTGTTTATCTAGAAAACCCCATCGTCTCAGCCCAAAATCTCCTTAAGCTGATAAGCAACTTCAGCAAAGTCTCAGGATACAAAATCAATGTACAAAAATCACAAGCATTCTTATACACCAACAACAGACAAACAGCCAAATCATGAGTGAACTCCCATTCACAATTGCTTCAAAGAGAATAAAATACCTAGGAATCCAACTTACAAGGGATGTGAAGGACCTCTTCAAGGAGAACTACAAACCACTGCTCAAGGAAATAAAAGAGGACACAAACAAATGGAAGAACATTCCATGCTCATGGGTAGGAAGAATCAATATCGTGAAAATGGCCATACTGCCCAAGGTAATTTACAGATTCAATGCCATCCCCATCAAGCTACCAATGACTTTCTTCACAGAATTGGAAAAAACTACTTTAAAGTTCATATGGAACCAAAAAAGAGCCCGCATCGCCAAGTCAATCCTAAGCCAAAAGAACAAAGCTGGAGGCATCACACTACCTGACTTCAAACTATACTACAAGGCTACAGTAACCAAAACAGCATGGTACTGGTACCAAAACAGATATAGATCAATGGAACAGAACAGAGCCCTCAGAAATAATACAACTATCTGATCTTTGACAAACCTGAGAAAAACAAGCAATGGGGAAAGGATTCCCTATTTAATAAATGGTGCTGGGAAAACTGGCTAGCCATATGTAGAAAGCTGAAACTGGATCCCTTCCTTACACCTTATACAAAAATCAATTCAAGATGGATTAAAGATTTAAACGTTAGACCTAAAACCATAAAAACCCTAGAAGAAAACCTAGGCATTACCATTCAGGACATAGGCGTGGGCAAGGACTTCATGTCCAAAACACCAAAAGCAATGGCAACAAAAGCCAAAATTGACAAATGGGATCTAATTAAACTCAAGAGCTTCTGCACAGCAAAAGAAACTACCCTCAGAGTGAACAGGCAACCTACAACATGGGAGAAAATTTTCGCAACCTACTCATCTGACAAAGGGCTAATATCCAGAATCTACAATGAACTCAAACAAATTTACAAGAAAAAAACAAACAACCCCATCAAAAAGTGGGCGAAGGACATGAACAGACACTTCTCAAAAGAAGACATTTATGCAGCCAAAAAACACATGAAGAAATGCTCATCATCACTGGCCATCAGAGAATGCAAATCAAAACCACTATGAGATATCATCTCACACCAGTTAGAATGGCAATCATTAAAAAGTCAGGAAACAACAGGTGCTGGAGAGGATGTGGAGAAATAGGAACACTTTTACACTGTTGGTGGGACTGTAAACTAGTTCAACCATTGTGGAAGTCAGTGTGGCGATTCCTCAGGGATCTAGAACTAGAAATACCATTTGACCCAGCCATCCCATTACTAGGTATATACCCAAAGGACTATAAATCATGCTGCTATAAAGACACATGCACACGTATGTTTATTGTGGCACTATTCACAATAGCAAAGACTTGGAACCAACCCAAATGTCCAACAATGATAGACTGGATTAAGAAAATGTGGCACATATACACCATGGAATACTATGCAGCCATAAAAAATGATGAGTTCATGTCCTTTGTAGGGACATGGATGAAATTGGAAACCATCATTCTCAGTAAACTATCGCAAGAACAAAAAACCAAACACCGCATATTCTCACTCATAGGTGGGAATTGAACAATGAGATCACATGGACACAGGAAGGGGAATATCACACTCTGGGGACTGTGGTGGGGTCGGGGGAGGGGGGAGGGATAGCATTGGGAGATATACCTAATGCTAGATGACACGTTAGTGGGTGCAGCGCACCAGCATGGCACATGTATACATATGTAACTAACCTGCACAATGTGCACATGTACCCTAAAACTTAGAGTATAATAAAAAAAAAAAAATTAAAAAAAATAAAAAAATAAAAAAAATAAAAAAACTGTGATACACCAACAACAGAAAATATAGGAATAAGGAAAGCAGGGCTGGAGTGTGGAGAGGTGAGAAGAGCTGTCTGTATTGACAAAAGCAGAACCTTAGAAACAACTTTCAGAAGCTCCTCATTAAATGAAACATTGTTATTTTCTTATGTCCCAAATATTAGCCAACTTGAGGTGAAATAAAGAGAAGTGACAGACTTTAGTCTCTGAGCGTACATCAAATGCATTGTCTTGTAGGAACAACTCTTTTACTTCAGTTACACCACCATGCTCTTTAAATTCTCTGTTATTCAGTGAAACTTTCTACTTAGGATATTTGATCAGTTGATTCATACCCAGTGTGAAATGCTTGAGAAGTTTAATTTCATGTAGTATCAGGGCAATAATCTCTTTACTTTGACCCAAACATCTTTGACTATGAAAAATCACTGAGAACAGAGGACACCCCACAAAGGCATCAACTTTGTTCTTCCCCAGCTTCACACTGTAAGAAATTTGGGTTCTCCACCTATTCCTGCGTTCCCAGGGAGGTATCGGTACAAGAAGATAAAAAATTGCTCCTTCCTATTCTAATTTAATAATAGTAAGGGAACATATATTTTATAAAGCAGTACCTCTGGGCAGATAAATACACTGAAATACAGTGAAGGCAAAAAATAGGGCTCATATTGGCATGTTAGGGAACAATTTAAGTTAGGAAAACTTCTATAGCAAGATAGCTGCAAAGGACATTTCAGCTGGACAGATTTTCTTTGTGCTTTCATCCAATTTGAATAGAAGATGTTTTTTGCTGTTTTATTGAGGCAACAAGTTTTTCTTGGCATTGGCACTATTTCAAAAGAATACAAAAATCATGGTTGAAAAAAAATAAAATAAAATAAAATAAAATAATAAAGAAAGCATTCAGCAAAGGGTTTTGAGCAGTGGTCTTTGACCTCTAATAAAAGGTGTTCACAATTTGCATTTGTACGTAAGTGTAAAGTTAATAGTCCAGTGAAAAATAAAAACATTTTTAGAAAAAATTAAAATATATTTAACAAACCATTTTTATTTATTATAAAAGATAACGCCAGAGTTACTAACTCATATTGATTTTCATATATAAGAAAACTGGTGAGAATATTTAGTGGTTAATTTTTACATCTATGGAATAATAAATGGGTAGAAATGAGCTAAAGGAAGTATGTTTTTAGACTACAGAAGTGCCATGGGCTTAATGACTCTAAATAAGAGAGGGGAGTTGGTGGATAAACAGCTTTTGTAGTATGATTATGAGGCATGTTCAACATTGTTTCTCACTGTGTCTCCAGAAGAATTGAGTGTCTCAGATTGGTAACACACTATTTATCCTACTCTTTATAAGCTTTCTGCCTCCTGAACCTCCAATCCCCATTTATTCAGCGTGTCTTTTTGGATCACCTAGTCTGAAACTACTTACAAACCAATTCTTTTCTGAGATACTTTGAGGAGAGCCAAAACAAAGAAAACTCTTTAGAAATAATTTCCCAAGGTTACTTCTGCTTATGGCAGAGAGAACCACACTCCCCAAAAATGAATTGAAAGAAAAATTTGGCCACAGTTATCATCACAAGAGCATTGATTGCCTCTACCTTTATAAAGCATCACTTCTTTTTATTGTCTTATTTCTCCTATATCCCACTGTCTCTCCTTTGTATCCTCTTCTTATTAACCTAATTGATATCCTCACCTTTTTATTTCAACATTAGTCTCAGGATCTCTGGTCCTGGTTCCCTGGGCTCTGAAGAGTTTATGAAAATTTTCCATTGCCTGGAGGACTTACTATAATTTACAATGTTATAAAGTTTAGTATTTCATAAATTGCTAGATGATGATTTTCAGTATATATTCTATGAAAATTTTATAATAAGCGTTATGTAAAAATCACCTGCTGTGGCTAAGTTTTAACTGCCGAGACAGAAAATGGTAAATTTATCGATAGCAAAATTTTTAAGAATTGTTAATAATATAATTTGAATTATAAAACCTTAAAATGAGCATAGATTTGGCAGTGTTTAACAATTATGCTTTACTCTAACTCCTATTTGCATACCACTTAATTAGTGTAAAACTAAAATGATCTGGAAAAGCACAGATAAAAAAGCATTCTAATGGGAAACATTCTATCTCTCTCTCTCTCTCTGTCATTGATCTAAATGCATTCTATGGTTTGAATGCGTACCCCAAATGTCATGTGTTGCAAACTTAATCCCCATTGTAACAGTATTAAGAAGTTGGGCCTTTAAGAGGTAATTAAGTCATGAGGGATCTGCTCTTATAAATGGACTAATGTTGCTATTTTAGGAGTGGGTTACTTATCATGGGAGTGGGCTCCTAATGAAAGGATAAATTTATTTCTGTCTTGCACATTCAACTCTGCATTCTATCTTCCACCATGGGATGACCCTCATTGGACTGCAGCCCATGCCTTTGGAATTTCTGGTCTCCAAAACCATGGACCAAATAAACTTCTATTTTTTACAGATCACCAGTATGTGAGATTCTAATATAGAAGCAGAAAATGGACTAAGACAGAGAATTGGTACCAGGAAGTGGGACTGTTGCTACATCAAATACCTGAAAAAGTGGAAGTGGCTTTGAAGCTGGGTAATGGGTAGAGGCTGAAAGAATTTTGAGGAGCAGGCTAGGAAAAGCTTGTATTGCAATGAACAGAGCATTAAGGGTGATTCTGGGGTGGGCTCACAAGAGAAGCCCAGAACTAGTGAAAGCCGAAATCTACTTCAGAATTACTTGAGTGGTTGTGACCAGAATGTAAGTAGAAATATAGATGGTAAAGGCAATTCTAATCAAGTCTCAAATGTAAAGGAGGAACAAAGTGTTGGAAATTAGAATAAAGGTCATCCCTGTTATTCGGTAGAAATGACCTTGGCTGAATTGTGTCCATGCTTGAGAACTTTATGAAAGGTAGACCTTAAGATTGATGAACTAGGATATCTGGCAGAAGAAATATCTAAACAGCAACAATTTAGGCTGCTTCATCGTTACTTTTAATCATATACAGTGAGATCTAAAAAAATGAGTTAAAAATAAAATTTATAATTAAAAGGGAAACAAAATGAAAATATGTGGACATTTTGCAGCTTGCCAATGCAAAGAATGAGTAAACCTATTCAGGAGTGAATAGTAAGTGTGCAGCCAAGCAACCATTTGCTAAAGAGATTATAATAAATAGAAAAGAGCCGGCCCGGCGCTGTGGCTCACGCCTGTAATCCCAGCACTTTGGGAGGCCAAGGCGGGCGGATCACGAGGTCAGGACATCGAGACCATCCTGGCTAACACGGTGAAACCCCATCTCTACTAAAAATACAAAAAATTAGCCAGGCCTGGTAGTGGGTGCCTGTAGTCCCAGCTACTCGGGAGGCTGAGGTAGGAGAAGGGCGTGAACCCGGGAGGCGGAGCTTGCAGTGAACTGAGATTGTGTCGCTGCACTCCAGCCTGGACGACAGAGGGAGACTCCGTCTCAAAAAACAAAACAAAACAAACAAACAAAAAAACAAATAAATAGAAAGGAGCCATGTAGTATTTATCAAGACAATGGGAGAAAGATCCCAGAAGCATTTTAAATATCTTCAAAACTGTCCTTCCCAGCATAGACCCAGAGCTCTAGGAGAGAAGAATAGTTTGGGAGGACCTTCAGACCATTGAAGGCCTGGGGCACCTTCCCGGAACTCACTACCCAGATCTGCCTCAGGTCTCTGATCCCTGCATGCCACTGAGTACTCTTCAACTTCTCTACCTGCAGCTCAAGAGAGCACTGGGGCCACGCTGGCTGCTGCTTGGTAAGATACAGGCTTTAATCATTGATAGCATCCATATTGCATTAAGTCTGCAGGCTTGCAGAATGTAAGAGCTGTGGGGATATAGTTACCTCCCCCTAGAATTTAAAGGATGTACAGGATAGCCAGAGGTCCAAGACAGACTCCTGCTACAGCAGTAGAGTCACCACAGTCTCCACCAGGGCATTACCTAATGAAGCAGTAGAAGTGGGGCTACTCCCAAGACCACAGAACTGTAAGGTCACCAGCGTGCAGCTCCATCCTGGAAAAGCTGCAGGCATGAGACTCCAACTTGAAAGAAATGAAGCATAGGCTGAGCTCATCAAAGCAAAGGAGGGAGGGCTGCTTGAAGTCTTGGGAGCCCAACCTCTACTCCAGTGTATGCAGGAAGCAGAACATGTAGTCCACAGAGATTATTCTCCAGCTTTAAGACTTAATGTGATTTCTTCTGTTTGGTTTTAGAATTTCTTGGTACCAGTTATCCATTTTTCTTGTCTATTCCCCCCTTTTATATAAGGAATGTCTATTTCATGCCTGTTCCAACATTGTATTTTGAAAAGAAATAACGAGTTTTGATTTCACAGGCTCACAGGTGGAAGATTTTGGCTTGGGATTAATCATGTTTTGAGTATCACCCATTTCTAATTTAGATAAGACTCTTAACTTTTGACTTCTGAGTTAATGGTGGAATGAGTTAAAACTTTTGGAATTATTGATATGAACTACATTTATTTTGCAATGTGAGAAGAATGAAAATTTTCGATGACAGGGGTGGAATGCTATGGTTTGAATGTGACCCCCAAATTTTATGTGTTGGAAATTTCATCCTCATTGTAATGGTATTAAGAGGTTGAGCCTTTAATAAGTGATTAGGTTATGAGGGTTCTGCTCTCATGAATGGATTAATGCTGTTATCATGGGAATGGACTTCTAATACAAAGATAAGTTTGCCCCATTTTTTTTCATTTTCTCACATGCTCACTTCTGCCTTCCATCTCTGACCAGAAGATGACCCTATGACCTCTAACCAGATGCCACTATAATACTCTTGGACTTCCAGTCTCCAATACATTGAGTTATATATAGAGCTGGAGGCACCCAAGCTCTCTTTCTGTGTAGCTCCAACTGGAGGCTGGAATATACATATATAGAGAGGTATAAATATACCTCTCTCTATATATTTTATATATGAATATATATTATACTTCAGCATATGACTTCAAGTTTGAACTATGTGTCAGAATTATTCTGACTCCCCCTTGAGCTTTGAATAAATACATATTATATATAAATCTTATATATATATCCTTTCTCTCTCTCTCTTTCTCTCTCAATCCTCCACATTAAAAAAATAAAAGTTTAACTGTGATGAATATATTCTAAACACATTTTAAGTGCATTTCTTCATCCTACAATGAAAAATGACTTCTGAAATAAACTAATTTTATACCTCAAATTTTGTTGGAATTTGCCCAATTTGTGGAGATTTTCCAAGTAATTCAATGGAGATTAAGCAGTTTTTCTTTGTGAGACTGTTACTAGACAACTATAACAATAATGTTTTTTTTTTCAGTGTTTTGGTTAAACTATTGGTAACATAAGGTCAAGCTCTGATATCACTCTTTTTTTATCAATGACTTCCAACTAAGTGGAGAGGTTTTGTTGCGTGGACATTTCTTTACACTGTGTAGCTGTTATGTTTGATAGGTCTACCTATGAAGTGCCAGGTTTTTATTAGGGGACATCTTAAATATTTGTTAATTAAATTTTATAGTTAGAAAGTGCTTTTATCAAATATACCATTTTAACTTAGAAAACCTGACATTTTGGCAAATACATGAGGCAATAAAATGAAACTTTCAATGTTCCTCTTTACTTCAGGACCCTTCCATTCTTCCCCTCTGGGCTCACGCAATTAGAAAATGACATTGCAAATTGTGCTTTTGTTCATATTTTGGAATTTTGAGTATTAGTGTAACGGTTGGCATATCTATATGGGAAAATATATGTTCTCCTATAAGTTTTACTTTCAAACTTGACAATTTATCTTTGATGAAATTATCAAAATGTGTGTTATGAAGAACTAGAGAAATTGATGAACAAGTATTCTCCTTTGAGCTTAAGGAGCAGAGTTTAGTTGGAAACATACACTGTAAAATGTATGAGTACAATAGAGAGTGGTAAAACAATATAGGATAAAGATGAGCAAAGAATGTGGAAGACAAAACAATAGAACTGAAACAAAATGGAACTAAACTTCTGTGAAAGAACATGAAAAAGTCACACTAAGGTGAATTTGTATATGGATGTCTAGAAGACAGGTGAGCTGAAAAACTATTTGAAAAGTGGAACATTAAAGTCTGAACTATGGGGCACAAGACATTTTGAAAAATATGTATACATTTTATTTTAAAAGGGGGATAATTAATATGACTATAATAGCAATGTAACTTTTTTGTACCACTATTCAGATTAAAAAACAGAAAGCTAGATTCTGATGGCATGATTGTTTACATAATAGAAATATGGTAGGTGTGATAGTTTGTCATAAGAAACCCCTTTCTTTTCCTGTAAAAGGAAAACACCCTGAAACATTGAGAGATGCTTTGGAAGGAACAGAGAGAGAGAGAGATTGATTTTATATCATGAAAAGCAATATGCTATAGTGGGCAATTTTTTCTTTACCCTAAAATATTTGAGTATACATACATCCTATAATTATTTCAGGAGGTAGAAACAGTCTTGTTAAAGCAATGATCTTATTCAAAATAGTAACAGTAGAGAAGGAGATTAAGTGCCACCACAAAAGGCTCATAATCAGTTAAAGTTCTTTGTCTCCTAGCAAATATGTTGAAAGAAATACCTTGAAATCTCAAAGCACAGAGTATTCATCAGTGTTCTTCAGAGAAACAGAACCAATAGAGAGGGATTTGTTATAAGGTACTATCTCACACAATTATAGAGGCTGAGGAATCTCGTGATATGCTGTTTGCAAGCTTTAGACCCAGGAAAGCCAGTGGCATAGCTCAAAGGCCTGAGAGCTGGAGTGCCAATGATGTAGATTCCAGGACTAATCTGAAGGCTTAGGAACCAGTAGCACCGAAGGTGGCAGATTGATGTCCTAGCTCAAGCAGTCTGGCAGAGGGAAGGATAATCCAAGCTTCCTCCGCTTTTTTGTTCTATTCAGGTGCTCAATGGATTGGATGATGCCCACACATATTTGGAAGGGCCTTATATTTCATTTAGTTCATCAATTCAAATGCTAATCACTTTCCAGAAACAATCTTATAAACACAAAAATAGTTTTTAACCACATATCTGAACATTCATGGCCATGTCAAGTTGACACATAAAATTAACTATCAGAAGTCTACCCCTTGTCAACTTGGTACCCATATCCATCTCAAATAAAGACAATAGCAATATCATAATTCTGCCTAACATAATGCAATTATCCTGAATACATTGAAAAATGCACTAACCTCTTCCCCAGAAGAGGAGGTAAAATCTTTGAGTGATGTTTACTTTTCCTGATATTCCTTAGCTTAAATGCTATGATATAAGATTAACAACACTAGGAAACTTTTACATAAAGTCTATTCATCTTATGTTACTTGATAAGACAAAAGAGAGGGAAGAAAACAAATATATTTGCTGTGTATATGCACATGAACATACACACACACAAATGCATTCTTAAAAACCTAAGAAAATACTCATGACGATTAAACCCCTCAATTCTCTAACTGGCCCCATGGTCATATCTGTTATTTATAACTACTTTCTTCCACTACCCATTGTGTATTTCCTTTGCCTTCAGCAAGTACATCAGCTGGTCATGGTTGTTTACCTGGTGAGGTTAACCAAACCTTCCTTCCTGACAGGTCTGCATTATGAGCAGTCCTGCCTGGATTAGGTTGTTCAAACATTATATGGATCTTCATCATAGGGTATGGTAACATTAAGACACCCTAAGGGATTTTCTGTATTTCAGGCATACTCTTTATTATCCCCATTGTGGAGTAGTAGTCAAATTTTGCTTTGGTAATCAAAATCAATTACCTCACCCAGCACAGTAACTTTCTTTCCCTGTTGATTCAGAGGCATGAGTAGTCATAAGTGGCTGAGTGACAGTCTTAACTTTCATTCTAATGAAATGATTATTGTGTCTCCTGGTAGAAAGTTTCCTCCCTTTGGAACTACGTCCTCTGGGCCAGCAGAGTATAATAAGGCAGTAACAGGAAGCAACATTTTTGCTAGTGGGTCACAGGGGATAATGGTGAGTGCTGCCACTCTCATTTTCACACCTTGATTCCTGGACCTGTGAATTCTGGCTATGGGACAAATAGCACCAAATGTTACCAACTGACAGAGCACATATAAAGCCTTCTGGAAAACCTTGCCCCAGCCCTGCAAAGTCCTGACACCCAGCTGGTACTGTAATTGTGTCTTCAAAAGGCCACTTATCTATTTTATCAAGCTAGCTGCTTCAGGATGGTGGATAACATGGGCCTATTGCCACTCTTCGTTTGCTATGAAGTGAGTTTCTTGGTAAGAGGCAATGCTGTGTGGAATATAATGGTGGATCAAGCATTCTATAAGCCCACAGATTGTAGTTTAGACAAAAGCACTGCATGCAGGAAAGGCAAATTAAAAACTGTAGTAAATGCCTACTCCAATATAAACAAAATATTTCCCTTTCCATGACTGAGGTGGCCTAATGTAATCAACATGTCACTAGGTACCATTGGCTGATCACTCTGGGAAATGGAAGTATATTGAGAACTCAATGTTGATCTGTGCTGCTGAAATATTGAATCCCGATAGGAAAGGCTTAGAGAAATATTGACAACATAAATTATAGTGTATCAGGGTCCTTCCTGGAGAAGATATAACCTTTTAATTATATAAGGGGTTCTGGGTCTGTAAACTGGCCCAATTCTGGAAACTGATTGAGGGGCTATGAGTCTATACTTTAATGATTCAAGTTAGATTTTTGTTCACTTAACCTAGAACTTTCCTTCTTATATAAATCAGGTAAGAAGATAGTAGGCTTCCTATCTATTTCACTTTTCAAATGTCATGATTGACTAGCCAATGTCATAGGTATACATCAGTCAGACTATTCTGATTGCTGCTTTTACTTTGCTGTCCATTAGGGTTACCATGACAACCCTGCCTTTGGTGGTTGAGTGCCAACACTTCACCCTTGTGCCTCTGGAATACATTTACTCCCATTGCATTTAGTTTTTCTAATCGAATTGCTGTAGTTTCCATTGTAAGGTCTATCCCGCAGAGAAAAGCGATCACAGAGCCCTTCATAGATAGTGGAGTTTCCCCAAAAATTTATTTCTCAAAGTGGTGGTGAAAGGTATAACTTCTGGGCTGTCCCAGTGTGGGTGAGTAAGTACTAAATGAAAAATCCACTCTTAACATTCAATTTTCTCTAAGCCTCTTAATCCCTTCCTCTACATTACACCAAAGGAGGTAGGCATTTTTGGTTCACTCAAAGTGGTCAATATTTTGGTTCCTATCTCAGCCAATCATTAAAAAAACTGCTAGAGTAATTTTTAACTCCCTGAACTGCAACATTAAATGCAGAATCTCTGTTAAGTGAGCCTATATTAATAAATTTGGCTTAATCCAATTTTATGTCACTTCCACCATTATCCCGTAACCTCCATATTTATTTCCACACATATTTCCTGATTTATGTCTGTATTAATTAGAAAAGTCAAGTAGTTTCTGGAAGTGCACACCTCCTCATTGGTCACACTTTGTACCTCATCATTAGTGGCCTGGTGGTACCTGAGTCCAGTTACAGGTCTATAAGCAAATAAGGGTAAAATAGATGGATCATGAAGAGAAGCAACATTTTCTGGGGTGGCAATTGTCTCAGGGGAGGTAATTACTGTTTTTTTTCAGGTAATGCAGAGTTAATCCACTCACGCAGGGCTGGAAAGGCTGATACCGCTGGGGGTGTGGATGATGTTGCCACTTGGAGTGGAGATACTGCTTTGGCTTGGAGTAGGGAGGCCACTTATGCTGAGGTTAGGAAGAACTGTTCCACTGACAAAACTAACATCGGAATTTAGAAGCTCAGTTTCCCCAGTATAATCAGCCATTCCACATGTCCCCATTCCAACTTACAAGATGCCATTTTTTTCCCTAATTTTTTTTTCTACTTTTACAATAGACACCCTGTGAAGCTGGTTGGGAGTTCAACTTGAATTGTAATTCAGACAATTGCAGGATGAGATTCTGAGTTTGATTTTCAGCAACATCAGCTCTGTGGCTATAGAAGATAAAAGTTTCTTTCAAGACACACATAGAAACCTTCAAGTCATGTATGCAGCACATGAGGTGGTATATATAAATATAGATATGCTTAATATACATAATATATTTATGTATATTTCAGGGATTTGATATATATTATATATATTAGTATATCATATATGTGATATATTAAATATAAATATATATTCAAATCCCTGATATATATTTAATATATATCATTTTGTAGATATACATATATACATGTGGATATATATTATATATAAATATATACCTATATGCATATATAAATATATGCCTATAAACATATATATAGTACATATAAATATATACCTATAAACATATATAATATATAAATATATACATATATACATACATAAATATATTTAACCACATTAAACCAGTGACATTTGAGCAACTAACTGACTTTATCATATTTCTCAGCTTTCTGTAAATATTCAAAAGTATTATAAACATAGTTATCAAGCTTCTTGTTTCTTATAAGTGGTTAATCAAGAGTATCCAATACAAATATTTTGTATGTCTCTATTACCAATTTATGCTGTGGACTATCAGTGCTTTCTCTACTACTGGAAATAGAGTCACTGGAATATCTAAGTTATATCAGATTAGGAAGCCAATTCCAGAAACTCTAGATCAACACAGAAACGCATGTTTAGAATTTTTTTTTCCTCTAGAATACTCCCAGTACCAAAATCTGCATTTTTCAGGGTTTTTCAGAAAAATTGAATCAGTAGCATAGCTAGCTAGATAGATAAGTAAATTAGATTTGTTGTAAGACATTGTTTCACATAATTATGGAGGATGAAAATTCTCATGCTATGTCATCTGCAAGCCAGAGACTCAAGAGAAGCCTGTAGTTTAGTTAAAAGGCCTTAGAGTTTAAGAGCTGATGGTTTAGGTCTTAGTCTAAAGTGTGAAGGCTTAAGAACCAGTAGTTCCCAGGACAGAAGAAGATTGTCATTCCAGCTCAAGCATTGTGGCAGAAGAAGGAAGGATCCAACCTTCTTTCACTTTTGCCTTTTTGTTTTATTCAGACTCTCAAAGGATTGGATGATGCCCACATGCAATGGGGAAAGCCATCTGCTTGACTCAGTTAACCAATTAAAATGCTTACCTCTTCCAGAAGCACCCTCACAGACACATCCAGAAGTAATGTTTAATCAGATGTCTACATCCTAAGGCCATGTCAAGTTGACATAATATCATGCATCACACCCAATGTCTTATAGTAATATACATTTGTTCAGAAGTGTAATACAAATTTAGTCACAATAAAAATGTTAGCCTTAATAGCCCCAGTGTGAAAAAATATTATTTAATAATTCAAGAGTTTCTTTAATTTTAAATATGTAAAATTATTTTTTAAAAAATAAATTATTAAAACTAAGATTTATACCATAGTTAGTATCTGAGAGGCACTGGGTTAACAAACCTTTGGTGCCGATGCTCATTTAATCTTCATGGCAATCCTGCAATGTTATTCTTATTCTTATTTGACTCCAATTTTATAGATGATGAATACTTAAGTACAGATAATTTAAGTAATTTGAATGAAGGATCAGAGCCAATAAGTCCCTGCTCCTAATTACTTTGCTATGTAACCAGACTCAATGCTTATGACATTTATATTATTACATTCAAGTTAAATAAGGAGTATATTAAACCTAACCATTCCTAACTGTTTTTTCCCTTCATTTACTCATTTAATTCAATAGAGATGTAGGTATGGAATACATCTCACTTGGAACATGGAGTATGTTTTTGGAAAATGATAGCACCATTTATTTCTGAAATAATTACATTTAAAACAAAGCTTAGAAAATTGTTTCAGTCATATATTAGACTGTAAACAGATGTGTAACAAGGATAATTTACCCTGGTTCATATTCTGCTAAAATTGATAAATATTTGACTTATATCTGGAAATTTAACTCAAGTATTAAATGTAGTTGTTGTACAATTTGTTTGCACTTTTCAGTAAGACTTAAGGTGAATGCAAATCTTAGCTCTAGGAGTTCTGCCACTTTCTTTTTTCGATGTCTAGACAGAACTCATAATGCCTATTTAACTATGTTTCATATGTTAGGAAAGGAAAAACAATCTCTCTTTCCCTCTATAGAAGAATGTTATAAGCATTAAGAGATTTTTAAAAAATATATTTGATATATGCAAAGTAGACTTTATGGTAGGCATTCCTGTATTTTCTTTAACATTCCAGTAGAAGAAGCAATCTAAATTGTCAAGATGCTTTATGCTGCTAAATCAAATCAAATAAAAATTAATTTCTACTTCCTATTGGATGTAATTTTTGATCAAAAATACTCCTACGTTTTGTAGGGATAGATGATTTGGAAATATAATTTACTGAGCAATCTAAAATATACTTGAACGCACATCTCTGTGAATTTTTGATAATATAGGCATAATTATAAAAGTGGTATAATATAGTTTCAGGACATTATAACAAGCTAAGTTTTTTTTTTTTAATAATTTCAAACTTTCATTTTAGATTCAGGGGGTACATGTGTAGGTTTATTACCTGGGAATATTACATGATGCTGAGGTTGGTGGTACAATAGATCCTATCACCCAGGTACTAAGTATAGTACCCAACAGATTGTTTTTCAAAGCTTGCCTCCTTCCTCTCTTCCCACTCTAGTAGTCTGCAGTGTCTATTGCTGCCACCTTTTTGTGCATGAGTACCCAAAGTTCAGCTCCCTCTTATAAGTGATAATATGCTGTATTTGATTTTCTGTTACTGCATTAATTTGCTCAGGATTATGGCCTCCAGCTGCATTCATGTTGCTGCAGCTGATGTGATTTCATTTCTATGGCTGCATAATATTCCATGGTCTAAACATACCACATTAAAAAAAAATTCCAATCCACCATTCATAGATACCTAGTTTGACTCAATGTCTTTGTTACTGTGAATAGTGCTGTGATGAACATAAGAATGCATGTGTTTTCTTTTTTTGATAGAATGACTTATTTTCTTTTGGATATTTACCCAGTTTTGGGATTGCTCGGTCAAATCATAGTTGTGTTTTATGTTCTTGGGGAAATCTGCAAATTGCTTTTCACAGTAGGTGAATTAATTTACATTCCCACCAACAGTATGTAAGCGTTCGCTTTTCTTCACAGCCTCACCAACATCATCAACATCTGCTGTTTTTTGACTTTTTAATAGTAGCCATTCTGATTTGTGTGAGATGGTATCTCATTGTGGTTTTGGATTACATCTCTCTGATGATTAATGATATTAAGTATTTTTCATGTTTGTTGGCTACTTGTATGTCTTCTTTTGAGAAGTATCTGTTCATGTCTGTTGCCCATTTTTAATGGAGTTATTTGATTTTGCTCATTCAACTCTTTAAGTTTTTTATAGATTCTGGATATTAGACCTTTGTTGGATGCACAGTTTTTGAATTTTCTCCCATTCTGTAGGTTGTCTGTTTACTCTGTTGATAGTTTATTTGTTGTGCAGAAGCTCTTCGGTTTAATTAGGTTCCAACTGTCCATTTTTGTCTTTGTTGCAATTGCTTTGGATACAGCCTAAATGTTTCTGTTTTTGCATATACCCACAGAATTTGAAACATGTAATTTCTTTCTTTTCCTTTTTTATTGCAAACTAAAAATAATCTGACAGATAAATGATTGTTCAAGTCCAGATGATTTAAAAAAATATATATATATATATAGCCTTCTTAATTAGCAACAATAATGAAAAAGGGTTAAAATAACACAAAATCTTGTAATTATTTTTCATTTGGAAATTTCAAACCCCCAAAAGATGAATAAAATTCAGTTAGGGCTCATTACAAGCACAACCCATCCAGTGAGAGAGATTGCAATATTGGTACATTAACTTTGGTCATTTTTGACTCAGTAAATAATGATCTACTTAGAACTGTTACTAGGTACATCCACAATTTAATAATAATAATAATACACACACATATTTACAATAAATATTTATTTTAGCGAAAAAAATTGTGACAAATAAGAGTGAAGAATACAATGAAATTTCTATGAAGTTTTGCTTCAGTTTTTGATTATGCTTTTTGATCACATGAAAATTGCATTAATATATAAAAAGATAAGCATGAGAATTCATCATTGCTGACAAATATTTCTGATGAAACTAAGTTGATATGCATTTATTCTTCATAGTTGGTAAAATCTAGGCCTTAATTTACTTTATATCATTTAATAAAGTATTTTTAATTCTAATTGGAGCACTTAAATGATAAAAAGAGATAGATATTTGACTTTGCTTTACCCAGAATTCTTTTTAAGGTTTATGATATTTTTTAGAAAAGAAATATAGCTGGGCCCAGTGGCTCATGTCTGTAATCCCAGCAATTTGGGAGGCTGAAGCAGGATGATCACTTGCGTCCAGGAGTTTGAGACCAGCCTGGGTAATACAGTGAGACCCCACCTCTAGTATAAATTAAAAAAAAAATTTAAAAAGAATAAAAATAAGAATAAATATAATTTAAAATTCCTCCTTTAAATATATATTTTTAATTTTGATTTTTGTGGGTACACAGCTGGTGTATATATTTATGGACTATTATTTTGAAAGTCAAATGAAAATTTTATCATTTAAACCTTAAGAAGCTTTAATATAAGTCTCAGATTTGCAAATAGGTACCTGAGAATATACACGTGATTTTATTTCTTTTAGAAAATAAAGCAAATAAAACAGAGTAAACACAAAGGAGGATCAACTAGTTGAAAATGTTTATTATACCTTATCCAGAACGTCATGCCAGGTACATAAGCTGATATTTTGAATACAGCTAGTATAAACTGACTCAAATGTAATTTTCTTCAAGTCATTCAGTTTAATAAGTTATTATGATTTAGATTGGCATTTCACTGTTACCCACTGTATGTAGTTTTCAGAAACCTCCATTAATTAACTTTGGTTACTCTGAAAATTATTAGAAGAGAAACTCATGTCTTCTTTGTACATTGTGGGTTACACAGTTCCGTGTCCATTACTTCAACCTTGTCTTTTAACTTATATATCTCCTCAGAATTTATCTGCACTTGTTAATTTTTATTTTGGGTTTGTTCTAAAGCTGCTTTCCTCCAATAATCTATCTTTTACTAAATCTACTTCACAGTCATTACATCATATATTCTATTCACACTTACATTTTGTATGGCTTTCCCCTTGCACATAGTATTTTTAATTAAAATTTTCACTTTGGAGTAGTTATAAATTCACATCCAGTTTAAAAGAAATAGTACAACACCATTTATTAAATAGGGAGTCCTTTCCCCATTGCTTGTTTTTGTCAGGTTTATCAAAGATTAGATGGTTGTAGATGTATGGTATTATTTCTGAGGCCTCTGTTCTGGTCCATTGGTCTATATATCTGTTGTGGTACCAGTACCATGCTGTTTTGGTTACTGTAGCCTTGTAGTATAGTTTGAAGTCAGGTAGTATGATGCTCCCAGCTTTGTTCTTTTTGCTTAGGATTGTCTTGGCTATATGGGCATTTTTTTTGTTCCATGTGAAATTTAAAGTAGTTTTTTTCTAATTCTGTGAAGAAAGGCAATGGCAGCTTGATGGGGATAGCATTGAATCTATAAATTACTTTGGGCAGTATGGCCATTTTCACGATGTTGCTTCTCCCTGTCCATGAGCATGGAATGTTGAGAAAATTGGCTAGCCATATGCAGAAAACTGAAACTGGATCCCTTCCTTACACGTTATACAAAATTAACTCAAGCTGGATTAAAGACTTAAATGTAAGACCCAAAATCATAAAAACACTGGAAGAAAACCTAGGCAATACCATTCAGGACATAGGCATAGGTAAAGACTTCATGACTAAAACACCAAACGCAATGGCAACAGAAGCCAAAATTGACAAATGGGATCTAGTTAAACTAAAGAGATTCTCCACAGCAAAAGAAACTATCATCGGAGTGAACAGGCAACCTACAGATGGGGAGAAAAATGTTTGCAATCGATCTATCTGAGAAAGGGCAAATATCCAGAATCTACAAAAAAAACAAATGTACAAGAAAAAAATAAACAACCCCATCAAAGAGTGGGCGAAGGCTATGAACAGACACTTCTCAAAAGAAGACGTTTATGTGGCCAACAAACATATGAAAAAAAGCTCATCATCACTGGTCATTAGAGACATGCAAATCAAAACCACAGTGAGATACTATCTCATGCCAG
This sequence comes from Homo sapiens, assembly GCF_000001405.40. Taxonomy (NCBI): domain Eukaryota; kingdom Metazoa; phylum Chordata; class Mammalia; order Primates; family Hominidae; genus Homo; species Homo sapiens. Next base: position 3,465,946 of record NC_000024.10, read on the forward strand.
TTAGAATGGCGATCATTAAAAAGTCAAGAAAAAACTGCATGTGAATTTACAATTACTTCACAGTGAAAATCTTAACAGAGGAGAGGATGTGGAGAAATAGGAATGCTTTTACACTGCTGGTGGGAGTGTAAATTAGTTCAACCATTGTGAAAGACAGTGTGGTGATTCCTCAAAGATTTAGAACCAGAAATACAATTTGCCCAGCAATCCCATTACGGGGTATATGCCCAAAGGATTATAAATCATCCTACTATAAAGGCACATGCACACGTATGTTTATTGCAGCACTGTTCATGATAGCAAAGACTTGGAACCAGCCCAAATGCCCATCAATGCTAGACTAGATAAAGAAAATGTGGCACATATACACCATGGAATACAATGCAGCCATGAAAAAGGATGAGTTCATGTCCTTTGCAGGGACATGGATGAAGTTGGAAGCCATCATTCTCAGCAACCTAACGCAAGAACAGAAAACCAAACACTGCATGTTCTCACTCATAAGTGGGAGCTGAACAATGAGAATGCATGGAAACAGGGAGGAGAACATCACACACTGGGGCCTGTTGGGGAATGGGTGGCTAGGGGACAGATAGCACTAGGAGAAATACCTAATGTAGATGATGGGTTGATGGGTGCAGCAAACCACCATGACATGTGCATACCTATGTAACAAACCTGCACATTCTGCACATGCATCCCAGAACTTAAAATATGATAATAATAATACAGAGAGATCTTGTACACTTTTCAGCCAGTTTTCCTCATTTGTAACATTTTACATAGAGTCAAATAACACAACCAGAATATTGACACTGAAATTATTTCTTCATGCTTATAAGTTTACCATTTTAAAAATATCATATAATTATGCAGTATATAACCCTGGGGGATTTTATTGTTTAATTCAGCCTAATTCATTTGAAATCCATCAAGTTGTTGCATGCATCAATAGATTATTTCTCTGTATTGTTGAGTAATAACCCATGTGCCACAGATTATTTAACCATTTATCCATTGAAAAATATCTGATTTGTTAACTCAGTACTACTAACAGTAAAGCTGATATAAACATTTTGTACAAGTTTTTGTATAAATATAATTTTCATTTTTTGGATAATATGGAAATTGCATATTTAGTTTATAAGAAACTGTCAAAATAATTTGCAATGTATGGGTGCCCTTTTATATTACCAAGAAAAATATATGCGTAATCTAGTTCTTTTACATTCTAACCAGTATTGACATTGTCACTTTAAAAAAACCATAGCAATTTTGATAGGTATTTAGTAATATTCCACGAAACTGAATAATTAATAAAGAACAGATTTATTTCTCACAGCTCTGGAGACTGAAAGTCCAAGGTCAAGGGGCTCACATCAGGCAAGGACTTTTTTTCTGTGTCATTCCATGGTGGAAGGCAGAATGGCAAGAGAGTGCAGGAGCAAGAGAGAAAGGGTGTGGAACTTACCACTTGTTCACAAAATCACTCCCCTGATAACTAAGTCACTTGTGAGGGTTCTGCCTAATGACCCCTTGAGCGTCCCACATTTCAATGCTGTTGCACTGGAGATTAAGCTTCCAATACATAAACTATGGAGGACATATTAAAACCACAGCAATTACTAATATTGAGACATTCTTAGTGTTAACTATTTTCAAAATGAAAATTGGTTAGAAATTTTTAAATGAAAAATTAAAATGTTTAAGCTTGAATTTGTTTGGATATTATACTTATTTTGATGTGGTTTGAAAATATATACGTAGAAAATGCAAACAATTGATCTAGTTTTGAAATAGAACTATTAGGAGCAGACTGTTACTCAGAGAATAGAACCAGAGATCTGTGGGAACTTGAAAGAGGCAATATTTATTGAGTGCCTACTTCATGTCAATCATTGTTCTATGCACCAGGGTTTATCCAGTGAACCAAACAGACAGAAATACTTACCTTCATGGAACACCATATTAATGAGTATTGTAAACAAATAATATTTATAAGTAAAATACATATTATATTTAAATCATTGAGTACTAAATGAGAAAAAATAAAGCAATGAAGGATAATATAAAATTATTATGTGGATAGTCATCTATGGAAAAAATCTTTTAGGCAGAAAAAATAGCCATTTTAAAGATTCTTAATAGCTAATATGAAGTTGAATGTAAGTGTCTGGAGTTCCTTGGAAAGCTCATGGCTGGTAATATAAATGTAACAGTCACTAATGTCTGTGTATAGCTACTCTGAAGTCATTTTTGACTGCCAATCTTGAAGTAATGTAAAGTTGCCAAATAAATTTGGTGATCCTATTGGTTATAACTGATATTTTTAGAAGTTACTTGAATGCTTACTTATGTATTTTTGCATCTAATAATGATTGATAAATCCCAGAAATAAAAGGAAGAAAACAAAAAATCTATTCATAATGTCAGATTCTGGCATTCAAAATCCTACTCATATGTCAGTTGGAGAACAAAGCTTTCAGCCAACACAGTTTGAACTGGAAGCTACCAGGATTCCTCCAGATCCAGAATGAAGGCACTTCATTTTAAATTCATATTTGAAGGGCCCTATTCATTGATGTCATGGCAATAGGTAAAAGTCATATTTTGATTTTGTGATCTGATATATTTGTTTTTCCATTGGCACCTGGCTTCACCCTGTGGGAAGTACCTTGTCTTCTATTATCCCCATTTCTCATCTTTGTGGGAGGATATACTCCTCAAGGACTGCACAGACTGATTTGTGTGTTTTACTGTTACCATCATTTTAGAAAAAAAATTTCTCAAAACCCTAGTAACTTTCTCATCTATTTGAGTCTAAGCAATTCCAAACACCAACAACCACATAGAAAAGTTTTCCTGGATGTAAATCTCAACTCTGTTGTATTTTGTGGCTTTCTTGCTCCTTTGCATGTCTCAGCTTGATGACTTATAATTTACTGTCATCTGAAGTAATAGTTTGGAATAGATAAAGGAAACACCTAAATATGATCTTTATTTGGAAGACTGAGTTCCTTTGTTTAACTAAAAATTCTTAATGAATCTCTGTTGCTCAAAGTCTTTTTCAGTTTTATCTCCCACTCTCTGGGGTGCAAACATACTCAGATGTTCTAATCCAATAAGGCCTCAAATTCATTCAGTGTTCTCTATTATCTTTGCTATTTCCACAAGCCAGCCAGGAGTAATATTTCGAGTCCATAGCTAAAGATAATTTATTTCTTTTTATATATAAGTCCAATATATTTGTTTGTAATAGATGCACAGATATACTGCATACATAAGTTTAAGGATTCATTCTTCTTTCATCTTGTGGCTTCAGCGTGCCTCAGGGCCTTTGAGTCCTCTGTTTAAAGTTGGCTGACTTGAAAAGACAGGCAAGGTAGAGATGCATTGGCTTTTTAACAGTCTTTGCCTTTAAGAGACACATATCATTTCTGTTTATATTCTATCATAAGAACTAACTATGTTGCCCTTCATATATCCACAAGCATCTGAGAAATGTAGTTTATGGCTGGGCAGCCACTTCACAATGACAATTTTATAGAAGAACCATGAATTTTGATGAAAAGATAGCTGACTTTACAGCATTGTATATCATAAATGTGCACTTTTATTCTTCTCTAGATCATGGCATACAGATTACTTCAGTTCATTAACAGAATGTGGACTCTGGGATTTAAAATTATAGAAAATAGGAGTTAGTGAAAATGGTTTTATATGTAACCATAGAGTGAATATCTGATAGACAAGTAGCCACTGGTCTGGTCAGAATACACCTCAAATGCCAAGTGCATTCTCTACATGGGATACTATCAAATAGCACTACAAGGTATGCTAACCACAATGCTTCCACCAGGTCTTATGTATAGTCACCACTTGTGTAGCAAAATTATCCTTGAGTTCAGAGTCAGAATTGATTCAGATATTAAGGAAATTATGAAACTTTAAGTTCCATATTAAGAAAATTAAAACATTCTATAATGATTTCATTTAAGGTTACTATGACATAAAAAGTTTCGTAGCTTTTAATTAAGCACACATTTATAATAATAGTTGTTATTTTAGGTAATATCAGGGTGTTGTAAAAGAATTGCCCACTAACCTCATTTCCAGTTACCACTGACAGATGTGTAAAAACAAGTTGTCTCTCTCTCCTGATAGTGTCTGATAGTCTAACTTTCTAAATGTCTAACAACCCTGTCTTTGTCACCTTGATCCTTACACTATGATCTACTCCTTTTATCCCTCAAATTCAAAAGGTACTCTAATCCTGAAATATCAGGTCAATACCCACTCTCCTTAGAGAACATTCTCTGATTGCTTTTAAGATCTTTCAAGTGAAAAATTGCATATATCTTATTTGAAGGTATTTAGAATCTAAAAAAAAAGATATAAATTTTGCCTCATTTTAGTACTTTTACGTGAAAAGTCTATGCTTGGGACTTCTATAATGATTGGATTTTAGGTTAATATGACTTAAAAAGCATTCATATCTTTTAATTAAGCACACATTCATATTAATAGTTATTATTTTAGGTAATATCAGGGTGTTATAAAAATTGCCCAGTAGCCTCACTTCCAGTGATCACTGACAGATGTATGAAAACAAGTTGTCTCTCTCTCGATAATCTATTTTATAATTCAAGTGCTAAAGAGAATGCTGTGTATTGATTGATAAAATTTAATCGCAGTTATTTTATGAGTTGCTTATTGTTGGAGTTAAGAGGGAGTGAATAAGAACTGCAAATGAAAAATGAATTTTATATTTGGGGAAAAGAGAAAATAGTCTCACAGTTATTACTTAATGTTTAATAATATACCAAAAATTGATTACATCAAAAGAGAAAGGAACCTATGAGATATGTGACTCAGAATAATTCTTTATAGTCATATGAGAAATTAAGCCTATAAATTAATGTGAATATATATTTGTTTATATATGTGAACACAAATTGGTGTCTTAGATCATTTTAATTCAAGCAAAACCATTTCTTTAAAAATAGAGATTCTAGCATCAGTTGAATCCAAAGAATCACATGCAAATTAGTTGCTAAAGGACTGTATTCCTAAATAAGATCTCTGTACCAACCTATTCCTTCACAATTTCTTTTTAGAGAAAACATAATTACATTGTTTTGCTAACATTTTTTGAGGACTGCACCTAGTTCATCGATTGGCAAAATATTTTTCTTTTCTAAAGCTTTATATAACAATAAAACTACTTTAGCATTTATTTGGATATTAGGCTATAGGTGCTATAATACCAAAAAATAAAAATTCATACACACATACACACTAATGAACCCTTTTACTGAAACCAAAACATCTTTCTGAGAATAAATATAGTGTTGTTAAATCAAGTTTAGCCTAAAGCTGCCTCCTTACATATTTTAAGTTTGTCCTAAAAGTTTCTCTGCACATTGTGAACTATAAAATTGGAAGTGTAAACACATCATAGCCTACACTTGTGCCAGTCACCGAGTTTTGCCCAATCAAATGTAGCCAGCTGTTTGAATTGTGTTCAAATAAGGCAAATGCTGAGCTATAGCCAATCCAGCTCTTTCTGTACCTCATTTTCATTTTCTGTTCGTCACTTTTCTTTTTCTGTCCCATAAATCTTCCACCACGTGGCTGCAGTGGAGTCTCTGAGCATACTCTGGCTTGGTAGGCCACCTGATTTGTGAATTGTTCATTGCTCAATGAAGTGGGATCCATAATAGAGTTTCTAACAACCCCCAGGAGTGCTGAGTGACCAAGCAAGCTACCTGCCAGACTCACTGTGTCCATTGCTCTCTCAGAGAAGCTGGGAATCGTGGTAAGATCTCTGCCGGATTCTGAGGCTCTACGGATTTGGGTTTTAAGCTCTCTGAGTTTCTTCAAGCAAATTTCTGACCCAAACTGGGTTTGGAAGTCACAATAGAAACTTGACTGGGCGCAGGATCAGATTGAATCTGGTAATTAACTGGCTTGGATCCAGTTAGAGGCCTCTTACATCTGACTGGGTCAAAGAAACCAGTAGTAAATGGCAATATTGCAGGGGGTGTTAAATTTGGCTTTGGAAAACTCACAGGAATTTTTGTTTTCTACCCCTTTATTTCATTCTTCTTGTGTACTTAGGCAAAAAATCACTGGCTAAGTTGAGAAGGGGAACATGAGAGCAAAGTCAATATTTGAAGTAAAAATGGGATCCTTAATTTCTGAAGAACTGAGTTCCTTCAGCTCACACATGCATAAGTATCAGGCCCAGGAAGCAGCAAAGTCTTATAGAAATGGCAAAATGTTACTAAAGATAACTTACAGTGGAAAACTCCAAAAAAAATGAAGCCTCCCAAATTAGTCTCATCTAGGGATGCCTAATGATACGCAGAAACTTCTAAAATTTTTTCAATATTTTTATTTAAAGCTTTTACAAAAGGCAAATAAAAAGCTTAAGCAATTAATTAATATAAAAAATTAAATCTGCTAATTTTTGGCTTAGTTACTATCCCGATCCAAAGGAAATCGACTTCAGTACCAATTAGTTGACTTTTGGTAAGTAGTGGGGTACGTTTGACCTGGGCAAAGAATGGAATTGAGTTTGAGGCCCAACTTAGGAAGTTTAGATTCCCTCCTAAGACATAGGGAGTTAGAGGCCCTCCCCTCATTAAAATCCCTCTTGGTTAAAAACGGATTTGGCACTATGTGATGTTAACTCCTATTCTCTTTGGATTAATCGGCCTTGCACTTTTTGCTGATGGCTATGGGTGACAGGATTAGGCATGTACAGGATCATAGGACATGGGGAACTTTTTTCTCCCCAAAGGGGGAAACTTGAGAGCTTATAGGATTGATGGAAAAGATCACTTCCAGCAAGTGACAAGTAGCCACCTGAACTTTTGATTCAGTATCTCTGCAATGGATGGGTCTTTCTCTGGCCTCCCTGAGCTCTTTGCGTTCCCCACCCCACCACAGGCAATGCTTTTCTTTATCTCTTTCTCTCCTTTTCCTTTTCTCTTTTTTCTGTTATTCAGGGTGACCATCTTGCCCAGAGACCACATGTTGCAACTCCTCATTGGAGGCAAAGATGACAGAGCCCAACCAGGGGAAAGATCAAGCCATCCCAGTTTGATATTGGGTGCTAAGCAGAGTAGCTAATGTGTATGCTTTGTCACAGAGAAGTATCTGTACAGCCTCTGTCACTTGTGACCTATAAAGAAATACGTCACATCATGTATTAGAGAGATTCGGTTGTAGGGGATTAACAAAGAGACTGCTTAGTTAAGTGAGCAAACTCTATCTAGCTCATTCTTTGATCTATTTAATTTTAGATGGTTTGGTTTATGGGGATCCTAAATAAGGAGCATACTCCAAACTCTTGGTATTATCCTCCTAATAGTCATAATAGTATTTCTGCTGGTGTGCTGTATTCTCCCAAAAGTTTTAAATGTTTCCATGTAGCAATCTCTAGAATGTCAACTGGTCTCTCTTCAACTGCAATGACAAAAGCTGAAAAAAATGTGTGACCATGAGGGAGCCATAACCTATGAATGACACGCTGAGACCGGAAATGCAAAATGATGGTATCTGAGAGTGATGCTAAGGCCCCACATTTTGGTCACACTCTTCCCTAAGTAAGAACCTGACCAAAGAGGGGAAATTTTTAAACAAAATTGTGGGAGGCCATTGTTTTGGACTGAGCTCATGTACTAGGCCCTGGACCAAATCAAAATGAAGTCACTCATGCTAAATGTGGCATAATCAAACTAAGATTTTAAGGAAACACAAAGATCCTAGAACAGACCCAGTTTTGGGTTTTTTTTTTTCTCCTGTAAACAGGACATTCACGCATAAGTAAGTACCATCTACTCTAACCCATAAAACAAACAAACGAACAAACAAAAAACTGAAGGCCTTGTTCCCACCTTGCAAAACCCACTCTTCTACTGTTTTTCAGTAGGTTTCAAGACCAAATAACTACGTTTACAATGGTGATAGTGACATCAATGAGCAAAGTTTCAATCAATCTCTCAAAATTGAGAAGATGACCAAAAGGAGGGAATTGTTAAATCAATTTTAGCCTAAAGCTGCCTCCTTCCATATTTTAAGTTCAGCCTAAAGTTTCCTCTGTAAGTTGTGAACTATAACCAGTGGAAGTATAAACAGACCATAGGTTACACTTGTGCCAGTCGCTGAGTTTGGGCCAATCAAATATAGCTAACTGTTCGAACCGTGTTCAAATAAGGCAAACACCAAGCTGTAACCAATCCGGCTGTTTCTGTAACTCACTTCCATTTTCTGTACGTCACTTTCTCTTTTTTATTTTTTTTTTGTCAATAAGTCTTCTTCCACCACATGACTGTGCTGGAGTCTCTGAGCATACTCTGGCTCAGAAGGCTGCCCAATTTGTGAATCATTCATTGCTCAATTAAACTCTTTTAAAATTTAATTTGGTGGAGGTTTTTATTTTATCAATGTCTACAATGGGAAACTTTTCTCAGTAAAAATGGATGCAGTAATATGGGTGGTCTTTCTCTCACATTATGCCACCTTTATGGGGTGAGAAAATAAGAACTTTATTCCCAGTAGGATACACAAAATGAGAGCAGTGAATCATAGCAGTGGTAGAGGCAATTTTTGTCAACAAAGAAAAAAGTTTTCAAGTGCAACATATTTAAGTGAGCATGCACAGGCGAGATAGGTGTAATATAGGTAAACATGATTTTCAGGGCTTGTACAATCAGATTAACAATCCTGCTAAAAATTTCCCAAGCATAAATCCTAATATGTGGTGAACATAGAATCTGTGTTACAGAGGGGACACATGAATGTTGATGAACCTGTCTCATGGACAACACCAAAGTCAGTACTATGTTATCTTACTAGGAGAGTAGAAATTACTCCAGTCAGAAAAAAACCTCTTTCCACAAGAATTTATGAGATGAATAAGCAAACCTATTTCACATGTTAAGATACCAAACTTTCTTCATTAAATTTTTATGAAATGCACACATTGCTGTCAATGGTAACAGCAAATTAATTCACCTCCAAAAGCAATATTCCCAATTTGGTGGATAGTCTCTATATGTTAGCAAATTACATTTGGGTGGTTGGATACATTTCAAGTGGATTCAATAATGAACTTGTATTAGTTGTGAATATGTCATTTCTTCTTAAAGTGCTACCTAAGATAATAATTCAAAAAGCAAGTGAGACAAAAATTGTAAACTGTTAAAATACAATTACTCAGCATCAAAATAATGAAACAATGTCTCTCACTTCCTAATTTCAGTGAAAGTACATATTGTGGCTTACAATAACTACACATTTTGTCTGTGACATTTAAAAATATTTTTATTCTCATTTTGTGAAGTAGTTTTTATGTACAGTAAAAATTATTTTTTGGAAGTAAGAATTTATATATTGGGGCAGGGGAAAAAAGAAAATATAATACATGCATGCATAGATACAGATAAAGCAAATGTTGAAAGTTTTAATGATTGGCCAATTCAGGTGTAGGGTATGCAAGGGCTTCATTATCCTAATCTTTTTATGTATATAATTTTAAAGTTTCAAAACAAAACATCGAGAAAATACAAAAACAAAACACTATTAAAACCTTTTCCCTCCTCCCTATCTCCCCTGTATAGTAGTTGCAGTGTCTATTGCTGCCATCTTTATGTCTGTGAGTACCCACTGGTATTTGGTTTTTGTTCCTGTGTTAATTCGCTTAGGATAATGGCCTCCAGCTGTGTCGATGTTACTGCAATATATGCAATTTTGTTCCTTTTCATGGCTGTGTAGTATTCCATGGTGTATATGCACCATATTTTCTGTATCCATTCCATCGTTGATGGGCACCTAGGTTGATTTCATGTCTTTGCAATTGTGACTGGTGCTGCAATGGACCTACAAATGCATAGAATGATTTATTTTCTTTTGGATATATACCCAGTAATGAGATTGGTTAGCTGAATGGTAGTTCTCTTTTAAGTTCTTTGATAAATCCCCAAACTGCTTTACACAGTGTCTGAACGAATGAACTAATTTATATTCCCTGTCAATAGTGTATAAGCATTCCCATTTCACAACTGCCTCACCAGCATCTATTGTTGTTAGACTTTTTAGTAATAGCTATTCTGACTACTGTGAGATGGTATTTCATTGTGGTTTTCATTTGCATCTCTCCAATAACTAGTGACGTTTAGCCTTTTTCTCATATGTGTGTTGGCTGCTTGCATGTCTTCTTTTGAAAAGTGTTCATGTCCTTTGCCCATTGGGGTTATTTGCTTTTTTCTTCTTCAATTGTTTAGATTCCTTAACAATTCTAGATAATAGATATTTGTCAGATGCATTGTTTGCAAATATTTTCTCTTATTCTGCACGTTGTCTTTTTACTCTGTTGATAGTTTATTTTGCTGTGCAGAAGCTCTCCAGTTTAATTAGGTTCCACTTGTCAAGTGTTGTTTTTGTTGCAAATGCTTTTGAGGACTTCATCCAAAATTATTTCCCAAAGCCAGTTTGGGAAGGCTATTTCCTAAGTTTTCTTCTAGGATTCTTATAGCTTGAAGTCTTACATTTAAGATTTTAATCTGTCTTGAGTTAATTTTTGTATATTGTGACAGGTAGGGGTCAAGTTTCATTCTTTTGCATAGGGCTAGCCAGCTATCCCTGTTCCATTTATTTAATAAGGAGTTATTTACTCATTGTTTATTGTTATCAACTTTGTTGAAGACCAGATAGCTGCAAATGTACAGCTATTTTTTTTTTGGCAGTGGGTGGGGGAGCTTTCTGTTTTGTTCCATTGGTCTATGCTTCTGTTTTTGTATCCGTACTATGCTGTTTTATTTACTGCAGCATTATAGTATAGTTTAAAGTCAGGTAATGTGGTCACTCTTTTTGCTTAGCATTGCTTTGGCTACTTGGGCTCTTTTTTTGTGGTTGTTCCATACACATTTTAGAATAATGTTTTCTACCTCCATGAAAAATGACATCGGTAATTTGATAGGAATAGCATCAAATCTATAGGTTCCTTTGAACAGTATGGCCATTTCGATGATAGTGATTCTTCCAATTGATGAGCATGGAATGTTTTTTCCATTTGTTTTTGTCATCTGTCATTATGTTCAGCAGTGTTTTATAGTTCTTATAGAGATCTTTCATCTCCTTCATTAGATACAATTCTAGGTATTTTTGAAGCTACTGTAAATTCGATTTTGTTCTTGATTTTGCTCTCAGCTTGAACATTATTGGTGTATAGAAACACTACTGATTTTTGTACATTGATTTTTTGTCCTGAACTTTAATGAAGTCATTTATCAGTTCCAGAAGCTGTTTGGCAGAGTCGTTAGGGTTTTAGTAAGTATAAAATTATATTGTCCATGAAGAGAGATAATTTGACTTTTTTCTTTTGCATGCATTTTATATTTTCATCTTGCTTGATTGCCCTGGTGAGAACATTCAGTCTTTGTTAAATAGAAGTGATTAGAGTGGGGATCTTGTTCCAGTTCTCGAGGGAAATGCTTCCAGTTTTTGCCTATTCAGTATGATGTTTGCAGTGGGTTTGTCATAGATAGCTCTTATTATTTTAAGTCTCTTTGATATCTAATTACTTGAAGGCTTTTGTCATGAAGGGATGTTATGTTTTACCAAAAGCATTTTTGCATTTATTGAGGTGATCATATGGTTTTTCTTTCTAATTATGTTAATGTGGTGAATCACATTTCTTAATTTGTATACGTTGAAACAACCTTGCATCCCAGAAGTGAAGCCTACTTGATCGTGGTGAGTTATTTTTTAACATGGTGCCAGATTTGGTTTGCTAGAATTAGTTGAGGATTTTTATGTCTATGTTTATGAGGGATATCGGGCCCTAGTTTTCTCTTTTTGTTGTATCTTTGCCAGATTTTGGTATCAGGGTGATGTTGGCTTCATAGAATCAGCTAATGAGAAATCCTTTCTTTCCAACTTATTGAATAGTTTCAGCAGGATTGGTACAAGCTCTTCTTTCCATCTCTTGTTCAATTAAACTATGAATCTATGAAGCCAGGGGATTTTGTTGGTTGGTAGGTTATTTTATTACTAATAAAACAAAATTTTTAAAATGTTCACATTTTGTTAAGTATAAGTGGATAATCATCATGATTCAATAATTTGAAAACCTTGATGCAGCAAATTACTTTGTTCAGAAAACATATTTCTCAGAAAATGTTGTTCAGCCATATTTGTCCTTCTCTAACTCATATTTTTAAAATTAAATATTTCTTTCTTAACTGTTTCTTACCAATGAACTTTGTTTATAGATAATTTCTTTACTGAAAATAGAATGAAAGTACTTGCAATATATGATGAAATGCCCAGGGGAGCAAGACGACTGAATAGAAGCTTCTACCAATTGTCCTCCCTGCAGGAACACCAAATTTCACATCTACACAAAAACGCACATTAATAAGAACCAAAAATCAGGTGAGTAACCACAGTACCTGGTTTTAACTTTATATCATTGAAGAAAGCACCGAAGAGGGCAGAAAATATAATCTTGAGTTGCTGATGCCACCCCTACCACATCAACCAGCAGCAGCCCTGTTGCCCAGAGAGACAATCTGTGCTCTAGGGAGAGGAAAAGAATTGTGATTGTGAGACTTTGCATTGGCACTCAGTGCTGTCCTATCACAGTGAAAGTAACATCACACAGAACTCAGCCAATGCCTGTGGAGGGAGCATTTAGACCATATCTAAGCAGAGGAGAATCATCCATCCCAGTGGCTCTAACTTGAGGTCTGGCAAGACTAGCCACTGTAAACTAAAGTCCTGTAGAGTACTTAATTAACTTGAAAGGCATTCTAGGCCACAAAGCCTGCAACTCCCAGGCAAGTCCTAGTGCTGTGCTGGGCTTGGAGCCACTGTACTTTGGGGGCACACAACCTAGTGAGACAATGGAATGGCCAAGGGAATGCTTCCGCCACCCCACTTCCAATACCAGGCAACGCAGCTCAAAGCTCTTAAAGAGACTCCTTCCTCCCACTTGAGGAAAAGAGAGGGAAGAGTAAAAAGGACTTTGTCTTGCAACATGGAGACCAGCTCACCCACAGTAATAGGGCACCAGGCAGAGTCTTCAGGTCCCCATTACAGGCTCTAGGTCCTGGATGACATTTCTAGTCATACCCTGAGCCAGAAGGAAACTCGCTGCCTTGAAGAGAAGGACCCAGTCCTAATAGTATACATCATCTTCTGACTAAAGGGCTCTTGGGCCCTGAATAAACAATCGTGGTAGTCAAGTAGTACCTGGCATGGGCTTTGGGTGGGACTCTGAGACCTGCTAGCTTAAGGTGTGACCCAGAACATTTACAGATGTGGTGGCTATGAGGACAGACTCCTTCTGCTTTTGAGAAGCAGAAAGAAAAGGAGTCTTTCTCTTGAACCTCAGGTACCAGCTCAGCCACGGTGAGGTAGAGCACATAGTGGACTTTCTGGGACCCCAATTCCAGGCTTTGGCTCTTGGATGTTATTTGTGGACCTTTCTTGGGCCAGAATAGAGCCAATTTCCCTGAAGGGTGAATCCCGGGCCTGGCAGCATTCACTACTAGCTGACTAAAGAGCCCTTGGACCTTGAGGGTATATTGCTGGTCACCTGGCAGTACTCCCTGTGGGCATGTGGGGATGGAGGGCATGGGGAGAGAATCCCCGCTTCTGAAAAGAAGAGGAAAAAGTGAAAAAGACTTTGTCTTGTGGCTTGGATGCCAGCTCAGACACAGACGAATAGAGCAGCAGGTAGAATTCTAAGGCCTCTGACGCTAGACCCTAGATTCTGGGTAACATTCCTGAACTTGTCCTGGGCCACCATGAACGGAAAAAGCAAGCCTGGCTGATTTCACCACTTACTAATCGTAGAACCCTAGGGACTTAAGTGAACAAAGGCAGCAACTAGATAGTGATTACAATGGGCCTTGCACAAGACCCAGTGCTGTGTTGTCCCACACAGCAGTCCCAGTGATGTTGACCACAGGGGTGGTTGTGTCACCCCTCCCCAAGCTCCAAGCAACTCAGCACAGAGAGAGAGACCCTGTTTGTTTTGGAGAAAGCACAAGAAGAGAACAAGAGTCTCTGCCTAGTAATTCAGATAATTCTCCTAGATTTTATCCAAGACCACCATGGCAGTACTTCTATAAGTATGAAAAAGCCACAGTCTTTTTGGGCTGGGGGTGCACTCTGATGCAGATACAGCTTAAGTGACCAAAAACTTAGATAAAAACACCAAAGTCCCTTTGAATACTTGGAAAGCCTTCCCAAGAAGGACAGGTATAAACTAGCTCAGACTGCAAAGACTACAATAAATACTTAATTCTTTAATGCTCAAAAACTGATGAACATTCACAACCATCAAGACCATCCATGAAAACATGACCTCACCAAAATAACTATAGAAAGTCACCAGGGACAAATCCTGGTGAAACAGAGTTCTGTGACCTTTCAGAGAATTCAAAATGCCTTTATTGAGGAAACTCAATGAAATTCTACATAACACACAAAAGAAATTGAGACTTTTACCAGATAAGTTTAGTAGATATTCAAATAATTAAAGAGAATCAAGCAGAATTGCTGGAGTTGAAAAATACAACTGTCATCCTGAAGGATGCATCAGAGGCTCTTAATAGCAGAATTGATCAAGCAGAAGAAAGAAAGAATTCGTGAGCTTGGAGACAGGGTATTTGAAAATACATAGTCAAGAGAGACAAAAGAAAAAAGAAAAAGAAAAATACATACCTATGAGATCTAGAAAATAGCCTGAAAACAGCAAATCTAAGACATATTGCCCTTAAAGAGGAGGTAGAGAGAGATAAGGATAGAAAGTTTATTCAAGCCGTTCATAACAGAGAACTTCTCAAACCTATTAAAAGATATCAATCTTCAAGTACAAGAAAGTTATAGAATGCCAAGCAGATTTAACCCAAAGAAGATTACCTCAAGGGATTTAATAATCAAAGTCCTGGCAGGGAGTGGTGGCTCACGCCTGTAATCCCAGCACTTTGGGAGGCCGAGACAGGCAGATCATGAGGTCAAGAGACTGAGACCATCTGGCCAACATGGTGAAACCCTGTCTCTACTAAAAATACAAAAATTAGCTGGGCGTGGTGGCACATGCCTGTAGTCCCAGCTACTCGGGAGGCTGAGGCAGCAGAATCACTTGAACCCAGGAGGCAGAGATTGCAGTGAGCCAAGGTTGCACCACTGCACTCCAACCTGGCAACAGAATGAGACTCTGTCAAAAAAAAAAAAAAAAAAAAAATCAAAGTCCCAAAACTCAAGGGTAAAGGATCCTAAAAGCAGCAAGAGAAAAGAAACAAATAACATACAATGCACTCCAATAGGCAGCAGACATTCAGTGGAAACCTTACAGGCCAGGAGAGAGTGACATGACATATTGAAAGTGCTGAAGGAAAATAACTTCTACCTTAGACTAGTATATCCAGTGAAAATATTCTTTAAGCATGAAGAAATAAGGACCTTCCCAGGAAAATAAAAGCTGAGGAATTTCATCAACATGACACCTGTCCTGCAAGAAATGCTAAAGGGAGTTCTTCAATCTGAAACAGAAGGATATTAATGAACAATAAAAAATTGTCTGAAGGTACAAAACTTACCAGTAATAATAGGAATACAGAAAAACACAGAATATTATAACACTTTAATTGTGGTGTGTAAACTACTCATATCTTGGGTAGAAAGACTAAAGGAGGAAATGATAAAAATAATAACTATAAAACCATTCAATACATAGGGAGTAAAATAAGAATTAAATAGAAACAACAATAAGTTAAAAAGTGGAGGGATTAAGTTAAAATATAGAGTTTTTATAAATTTTCCTTTTGCTTTTTTATTTATGTAATCAATGTTAAATTTTCTTCAGTTTATAATAATGGGTTATAAGATAGTATTTGCAGGCCTCATGGTAACCTCACATGAAATACATACTACAGGTAAACAAAATTGAAAAACAATAAATTAAAACATACCACCAGAGACAATAATCTTCCCTGAAAGGAAGACAGGAAAGATGGAAGTAAAGAAGAGAAGACCACAAAACAACTAGAAAACAAATAACAAAATAGCAAGAGTAATTCCTTCGTTATCAATAATAACATTAAAAATAAAAGAAACTCTCCAATCAAAATATATAGAATGGATGAATGAATTTTTAAAAAGCTAGACCTAATAATCTATTGCCTACGAGAAACACATTTCCCCTATAAAGACACACAAAGACTAAAACTAAAGAGATGGAAAAAGACACTCCATAAAAGATACTCCCTGTTAAATAGACAGTGCTGGCATAGTTGACTAGCCCTATGCAGAAGAATGAAACTTGAAAAAAACGTACAAAAATACAAAAAATACAAAAATTAGCTGGGCATGTTTGTACGTGACTGTAGTCCCAGCTACTTGGGAAGCTGAGACAGGAGGATAGCTTGAGCCCAGGAGGTTGAGGCAGCAGTGAGTCGTGATCATGCCACTGCACTCCAGCCTGGGTGACAGAGTGAGACCATGTATCAAAAAAAAAAAAAAATTAAGAAAATTTAAACTTTTTAAAAAATATATAAAAAATTGAAAAACCTTTAGCAAGACTAAGAAAAAAAGAGAGAAGACACAAATAAATAAAAGCAGAGATGAAAAAGGAGACATTATTCCTGATACAGAAGGAATTTAAAAGATCATTAGATGCTTCCATGAACAACTATATGGTAATAAACTGGAAAACCTAAAAAAAATGGGCAAATTTCTAGTCACTTAAAATCTACCAAGATTGAGCCATGAAAATTCCAAAATCTGAGTAGGGCCATAACAAGTACCAAGATTGAAGCCATAATAAAAAGTCTCCCAGCAAAGAAAAGTCCAGACCCCCATAGTTTCATTGTGGTATTTTATCAAACATTTTAAAAGAACTAGTACCAATCCTACTCAAACTATTTCAAAAAATAAAGGAAGAGAGGATACTTCCAAACTTATTCTACGAGGCCAGTATTACCGTATACCAAAACCAGACAAAGACACACACACAAAAATGCAGGCCAATACCCTTGATGAACATTTTTTTAAAACATTTATTTTAAGTTTAGGGGTAAAATTGCAGACTTATTATATAAGTAAACTTGTGTCATGGGAGTTTGTTGTACAGATTATTTTTTCACCCAGGTATTAAGCATAGTAACGATTAGTTATTTTTGCTGATCCTTTCCTTCCTTCCACCCTCCACCATCCAAAAGGCCCCAGTGTGTGTTGTTCCCTTTGATGCGTCCATGTGTTCTCATCATTTAGATTCCACTTATAAGTGAGAACATGCAATATTTGGTTTTCTGTTTCTGTGTTAGTTTGCTAAGGATAATGGCCTCCAGCTCCATCCATGTTCCTGCAAAAGATATGAGCTAGCTCTTTTCTATGGCTGCATAGTACTCCATGGTGTATGTGTACCACATTTTCTTTATCCATTCTATCATTGATGGGTCCTTGATGAAGACTGATGCAAAAATTCTGAACAACATACCAGCAAAACAAATTCAACAACATATTAAAAAGATAATGACCAAGTGGGATTTATTCCAGGGATGCAGAAATGGTTTCAGATTGACAAAGCAATCAGTATGATACATTATATTAACAGAATGAAGGAAAGAAATTACATGGTCATTTCAATTGATACTGAGTAAACATTTGATAAAATTCAACATTCTTTCATTACTCAATCTATGCATTTGATGAAGGCCTAATATCCAGCATCTATAAAGTACTTAAACAAATTTACAAGAAAAAGAAAACACTAACAAAACCATTAAAATGTAGGCAAAGGACACGAGAAGACACTTTTCCAATGAAGACATACATGGGGCCAACAATCATATGAAAGAAAGCTCAACATCACTGATCATCAGAGAAGTGTATGTCAAAACCATAATGAGATACTATCTCATACCAGTCAGAATGGTTAATTATTAAACAGACAAAAAATAACAGATGATGGCGAGATTGTGGAGAAAAAGGAATGCTGATACACTCTTGGTAGGAGTGTAAATTAGTTCAGCCATTGTGGAAGACAGTGTGGTGATTCCTCAAAGACCTAAAAACAGAAATACTGTTTGACTCAGCAATCTCATTACTGGTTATATACCTAAAGGAATATAAATCATTCTGTTATAAAGAAACATGGATGCGTATGTTCATTGCAGCACTATTCACAATAGCAAAGACATGGAATCAAACTAAATGCTCATCAATGATAGACCGAATTTCAAAATGTCGTACATATACACCATGGAATACTATGCAGACATAAAAAAGAATGAGATCATAAAAAAGAATGAGTTATTTGAAGGAACATGGATGAAGCTGGAGACCACTACCCTTAGTAAACTAACGTAGGAACAGAAAACCAAATACTGCATGTTCTCAGTTATAAGTGGGAGCTAAATGATGAAAACACATGGACGCATAGATGAAAACAACACAAACTGGGGCCTATTGGAGGGTGGAGGGTGAAAGGAGGGAGAGGGTCAGGAAGAATAGCTAATGGGTACTAAGTTTAATACCTAGGTCATGAAATAATCTGTACAACAAACCCCGATGATACAAGTTTACCTATGTAACAAACCTGCACACATGCCCTTGAACTTAAAAGTTAAAAAAGCAACTCAGAAAAATCTGAGTATAGAAGGAACACATCTCAACACAATAAAAGCCATACATAACAGACTCACAGGTAGTATCTTTCTGAATGAAGAAAAGCTGAAAGTGTTTCCTTTAAGATCTGGAGCAAGACAGGGGTGCCCACTTTCACCACTGTTATTAACATAGTACTGGAAGTTCTAGCTAAAGCAATCAGACAAGAGAAATAAAGGGCATCCAATATGGAAAGGAAGAATTTACATTATCCTTTTTTTGCAGATGTTACAATCTTATATTTCGAAAAACCTAAACACCCCACTAAAAATGATTAGAACTGATAAATGAATTCAGTGAAGTTGCAAGATACAAAATCAACATACAAAAATCAATAGCAAAAATCATTAACAATGAACAATCTGAAAAAGATTAAAAAACATAATTTTATTTACAATAGCTACAAATAAAATCACATACCTAAGAATTAGTGTAACTAAAAAAGTTATAGATCTCTACAATGAAAACTATGAAACATTGATGAGAGAAATTGAAGAGGACACCAAAAGATGAAAAGATATTTTATGTTCATGGTTTGGAAGAATCAATATTGTTAACATGTCCATACAACCCAAAGCAATCTACAGATTTAATGCAATGCCTATCAAAATACCAATAATATTATTCATAGAAATTGAAAAAACAATCATGACATTCATACAAAATCATAATAGACCCAGAATAGCCAAAGCTATCTTTTTCAAAAAGGACAAAATTGGAGGAATCACATTGTCTGACTTCAAATTATACTACAAACCTATAGTAATGACAACAGTATGATGCTGAAATAAAAACAAATGCATAGATTAATGGAACAGAATGGAGAATGGAGAACACACCCATTCATCTACAGTGAATACATTTTTGACAAAAGTGCCAAGCACATACAATAGGGAAAGGACAGTCACTCTAATAAATCGTGCTGAAAAAAAATGGACATCCATATGCACAAGAATAATACTAGACCACTATCTCTCACCATATGCAAAAATTAAATCAAAATGGATTAAGCACTTAAAGCTAAGACTTCTAACTATGAAGCTACAAAATGAAAACATAGGGAAAACTCTCCAGAACACTGGACTGGACAAAGATTTCTTAAGTAAATACCCCACAAGCGTGGGCAACCAAAGCCAAAATGGACAAATGGGATGAAATAATGTTAAAATGCTTCTGCACAGCAAAAGAAATAATCAACAAAGTGAGAAGATAACTCACAGAAAAGGAGAAAACACTTATAAACTATCCATCTGGCAAGAAATTCATAACCAGCATATATAATAAGCTCAAACAACTCTATAGGAAAAAATTTAATAATCAAATTTAAAAATGGGCAAAAGAATTGAATAGACATTTCTCAAAAGAAGACAAATAAATGGCAAAGAATTGTATGAAAAGGTGCTCAACATCATTGGTAATCAGAAAAATGCAAATCAAAACTACAGTGAGATATAATCTTACTTCAGTTAAAATAAATTTAATCCAAAAACAGACAATAACAAATGCTGGCGAGGATGTGGAGCAAAGGGATTCCACCTACACTGTTGGTGAGAATGTAAATTAGTACAACCACTATGGAGAACAGTTTGGAGAGTCCTGAAAAAACTAAGACTAGAGCTATCATACCATCCAGCAATCCCACTTGTAGGCATATATCCAATATCAAAGAGATATTTGCACACTCACATATACTGCAGGACTATTCACAATAGTCAAAATTTGGAAACAACCTGCGTTTTCATCAACACCTGACCGGATAATGAAAATATGGTACATATACACAATGAAGTACTATTGAGCCATAAAAAGTAATTAGGTCCTTCCATTTGCAACAAAATGAGTGGAACTGGAAGTCATTATGCTAAGTGAAATAAGCTAGGCATAAAAAGATAAACTTCACATATTCTCACTCATTTGTGGGAGTTGAATATTAAAGTAGTTGAACCCTAGGAGACAGAGTGTTGAAGGATCATTACCAGAGAATGCGGAGGAACTGGGGATGGTTAACAGGTTCAAAAAGTAGTTAGAAAGGATAAATAAGACCTAGTATTTGACAGCACAACTGGGTGAATGTAGGTTATAATAATTTATTGTTAATTTTAACATAACTAAAAGAGTGTAACTGGATTGTTTGTAACAAAAAGGATAAATGATTGAGGTAATAAATAGTTCATTTACCCTGATGTGATTATTACATATTGTATGCCTGTATCAATATATCTTATGTACTCCATAAATATATAGATCTTCTACATACCCATGAAAAATTAAAATGAAAAAAAAACCACTTAAAATGTATAATGAAGCACCATATCTGACAATCAACAAAATATGATCATTGATCCTTGGTCAATTATGGTATATGATGTTTACATTGTAACTTAAAATCCTTCATGGAAAGTTGTTACTTACATGCAATAGTAGGCCTAATGGAGAAATTTTTGAAATTTGGAAAATTATTCATTTTCTTGAGGAAATGTGGTTTGGTAGGATAAAACAGAGGCTTGAAAAAGGAAGATTCACAAGTTTGCTCAACTGTGTACAACATAAATGTTTGTGGGTCAGTTTATTAAGCACATTTAGGGACTAATTTCACCTTTTAAAATTGGTTTATAACTACCCAATTGCATACTTGGCACATAGTGGAGTTAGTAAATAATATATTTTGTCATTTTGTTTTACTATTTGTTTTGACAATTGTTGTGATTATTGCACCTTAGTTTTCTGACACATTTGGCGCTGTTTTCTCACTTACAAAAGAAAGGTCATGAACTAGACAATTCTTACGGTTCTTACAGATCCAACATTCTCACTGTAGACAATAGGTCAGCAAATCTACTCTGTAAAGAGCCAGAGGGTAGATATTTTTGGCTCTGTGCACAGATCATCTGTCTTAACTACTTAACTCTGCTATTATGATGTGAAATCAGCCATTGATAATTTATGAACTAATGGACCTGGCTGTGTTCTAACAAAGCCACATTTACAAAAACAGTTTATAGGTCAAGTTGGCCTGTGGGCTGAAGTTTGCCTGCCTCTGTTCCAGGTATTCAAACAGTCAGTAAATTCAAATGCCTTTATTTGACAAAATAATTTTGTGTCATCATATTCAACATTAGCTGCTGAGGTCTTTGCAACAATGAGGCTGAAAGTAAGATAATATGACCAATAGAGAAGGCACTTACTCTCTATGTTGTCACTGAATTATCTTGATTTTGTGGGGTAATAACAAGGAGAGATTATTGTTATACTATGTAACTCTGAAAACAGCACTGCTGCCTAGAACCATCACTGCTGGTGCTCTTATGATTAAGATTTTCTCTTATGATTAAGATTTGCCCTTATGATTAAGATTTGCGGTGATAAACATGCAGCTACTGTATGGTTGGAAAGCCAGAAAAATTAACAGACAGCATTAAAAAACATATTATACAAAATTAAACATGCTAAAACAAAAGTCATTTAGAATAATTACTGAGTCCACAGCAAATTATATATCTCTTTCCCATGTTATATTGTTTTGGAAAGTTATAGCATGTATTAGTATTTCATTCCCTTTCATCACAAAATACCATCCCATTTATAACTATGTCATATTCCTTTATTCATTAATCAGCTTTTGGACATTTGAGTTGTATACTTTTTTATTATTTTGGAAGATGCTTCTATGAAGTATCATATCAGGTTTTTGTGTAAGCATAAATGTTCAACTCTCTGGAATGTATAGCTAAGTATTGAAATTGCTGGATCATATACTAATTATATATTTAGCATTTAGAAAAATTAAAAAGTAGGTTTCCAAAGTAATTGTACAATTTTCCTATCCCACCAGTTATGTAGAGGAGTTGCAGTTCACCCACATCCTTGTCAAAACTTGTTATTGTCTTTTATTATTATAGCCATCTTAGTGCATAACCAGTTTTGGTGCTTGTGAATTTTTCTAATAACTAATGATATTGAACGTCTTTTCATGTATTTACTGGCCATTTGCGTAGCTTTGAAGAAATGTTTATTCACATCCTTTGCCCATTTAAAAATGAGTAATTTCTTTTTTTATTATTGAGTTTTCAGTATTCTTTATATATTCCAGATACTAGTCTCTTATCAAATATATTGTCTACAAATAATTTCTTACATTTTGTAGGTTGTCTTTTGTTATATCATCAACTAATAACTCTGTTGGTGAGGAAGGAATTCCCTAGAGTTATGGAGATGGCCAAACATATGACTGACTCTTGATAGATGAAATCGAGGGCAGTTTGTTTCTCACATACAAGCACAGCCACAGGAGAAGACACTGCATAACACACAGGACCACACAAGGGTTACATCCAGGAACAGAGTGAACAACCAGGAACTTTGAGAAACAGATTTTTTAGTGTGAAGAGGGTGGGATGTCCCCTGTTTGCTGCAGGAGAATGTAATTGGTTTCTTTGCATAATTCTGTAGGCTGGTAGGGCACTGAAATCCACTTATCAAGAATATACAGAAACTACTGCTGGTACTTTTCATAACGAGAATTGTTTTTTTCTGTTTTTGTGTGTGTGCATTTTTTTTTTCTGCTTTATCCATGGGAGCAGAAGGGGAGGTGAACATGTAGTTAGGCCATTTGAAACACTAATGATGTTACCAGATACCAAGAAGGCACATAATATTGGACCTTTATTTTAGACCTTAACCCACAATTGACCTTTGATTCCTTGGTATCAATTTAAACTCAATAATGGCTAAAACTTTTAGGGAGTAGGACAAGTGCATCCCTAGCGAATTTAGTGCATGAAATAGAGGAAGAAGGCCACATAATGAGGTAGTCATCAAAAAGAATGAATTTTAGAGGTATCTCTCTTTATGTCCAGTAAAAGAAATCGAGGGACTTGTGTGACATTGGTGTAGGGAGAGCATGTCTCCAGGGCATGTGATTTGAGATTAATTAATGCCTCTGGCAATAATAACATCCATTGGGGTTCTCTTGGCCATTTGTCAGTTAACTAGTATCTCTGAGGATTTCATTATACTTCTCAATTAAACTTCTGCTTGAGACCTATAGGTGAAATGTAAAGTCCACTAAATACCTTCTTTGAGAACCCAGAATTGTATATTCTGAGAGGTAAAAGTGCCTTGATCATGATCATTAATATCTGGAACTCAAAAAGATAAGTGTCCTGGTAAAGCCTTGTTTTACAGCCTTAGTAGTCTAGAGATATTCATAAACTTGATTAAAATTTTCGGTATATGTGAGTCAGGAAACTATGAGTGCTTTACCCCAAAGGGGGAAGCTCCTAGTCAGTGGCCCAGAATTAGTAAAATTTGCAAAACAGGACATTTGTTGGATAGGGCATCCAGTGCCAAGGTGACTACAAGAAGTTTGGCCATTTGCATTGATCCTTGGGTCTTGTCCTTTAACAGGGATGTTCTGGTTAAGAATGGAAAGCAGTCACATTTCTCTGAGTTTCATCACCTATCATGGTGGTAATATCTGTAAAGTGTTATGAACTTTGAAAGAAACCAAAATATTTCACTCCAAAATATATTTCTTTGACATATTTCAAGATGGCTATTTAAAAAGGTTGGAATTTGCTGAAATGCTATCTTTTGTGGGAGAGATATGAATCTGTAGAAAAAAATCTCCATTGATGTAGTAAGGCTTTTTCTGAGGGCCTTCTCTTGTTTCTCATTCATATCTAAGAAATATTAACTGAGAGCCTGAAACTTTTAAAGTTTTGAAAGAAACACTTACCAACTATTCTCTCTAAGGGCCATACCTGTGATGTCTCATCTACATAACAGACTACTTCTTCTCTCTGTTTAGTATTTGTAATGCCACTATAACCTGTTTTGCCATGATTCAAGCCACCATTTTTTTTTTTTTTTTTTGAGACAGAGTCTTGTTCTGTCACCCAGACTGGAGTGTAGTAGCATGGTCATAGCTCACTGCAGCCTTGACTTCCCGGGCTCAAGTAATCCTCTTACCTCAGCCTCCCAAGTAGCTTGGAAGACAGGCACACACCACCATGCTTGACTAATATATATTTTTTATTTTTTGTAGAGACACAGTCTCACTATGTTACCCAGGCTTGTCTCGAACTCCTGAGCTCAAGCGATCCTCTCACCTCAGCATCCTCAAATGCTGACATTACAGGAGTGAGCCACCACATGTGGTCAAATCCTTTATTCTTTTTGTAAACCTCAAGATGCTTTTATAAGCTTATGAACACTATTGGGATTGGGAGTAATCACTCTGTGGTTCTCCCTGAGCATGTTAAAATTGCATGTCATTTATTCTATTAATCGGCCTTTTGTTTGTTGATTTTTCAGCAAAACTTCGGAGGGCAAAGGGGAAGTTTTCTTTGGCCCTTACAACTTTTATTATTTTCACTCAGTTGCTCCCAAGGGGCTCCATAGCCAGTGAAGGTTTCTGGTAGACAGGTTACCTCCTCCAGCACCATAGCATCTGGCCAGGGACTGAGGACAAGAGAGGTCACTACCTCCAATAGATGAAATGTGCCAGAGGACCCATGTTTGGCTTCATCTTGTGGCAAGTAGGACTTGGTGGCCATGCCAAATTTGTGAGGTCTCACTTTCATGATCCAAGGCATAACGGGCTTCTAGGTATGCAGGGTTAGGGGCTCAGGATCTGTGAGGGCCTATCTTCTCAGGGAACCCAGTATATGACCAGCAATTGCCACTGTAATGGTGCATAGTGCTGAGCCTAATGGGCAGTTTCTCACATCTAAAGCCCAGGACAACTTACATCAAAATGTAACTGCCCAATGGGTACTCTTTGCCAGTTGCCTAGACAGAGCTGATTTATCAAGACAAGGAAATTGCAATAGAGAAAGAGTAATTCACACAGAGATGACTGTATGGGAGACCAGAGTTTTATTATTACTCAAATCAGTCTCCAGAAAAACTCAGGGACTGGGGTTTTTAAGGACAATTTGATGGGTAGGGGGCCAGTGAGTCAGGAGTATTGATTGCTAGGGTTTGAGATGAATCACAGGAAGTTGAAGCTATCCTCTTGTGCTGAGTCAGTTCCTGGGTGGGGACCACAAGATCAGATGAGCCAGTCTATCGATCTGGGTGTTGCCAGCTAATCTATCAAGTGCAGGCTCTGCAAAATATCTCAAGCACTGATCTTAGGTTTTACAACAGCAATGCTATCCCCAGGAGCAATTTGGGGAGGGTCAGAATCTTGTAGACTCCAGCTGCATGACTCTGAAACCATAATTTCTATACTTGAGGCTAATTTGATAGTTCTACAAAGGCAGTCTAGCTCCCAGGCAGGAAGTGGGTTTTTTTGGGAAAGGGCTGTTATCATCTTTGTTTCAAAGTTAAACTATAAAGTACGTTCCTCCCCAAGTTAGTTTGGCCTACACTCGGGAATGAACAAGGACAGCTTGGAGGTTATAAGCAAGGTGGAGTCAGGTGAGATCTCTTTCACTGTAATAATTTTCTCAGTTATAATTTTTGCAATGGCAGTTTCATAAAGAATCTCTAGGAGTGCCTGTTGATTTCAATTTGGACATATTCTAGATTCTTTTGTTGGAGAGTCTTCCATTTAAAGTTTGTCAATTTTAAAGTCACATAGCAGTAATATTAAGCAAAATTTATAAAGGAGGAATATGTTGCCTCCAGAATCCAAAAATGATCAAAAGATGCTGGACTTTTATAAATATTATGGGTGCTGAGAACATGAATAGCTCTTTCTTGACAGTGTCAGGGATGAAGCAATCTTCAGTTCACCAAGTGATTTTTAGAAATTTAACAAAGGTGGCAGGGCTTTTCACTATATATGGAGCAATGACTTATTTTTTTTGGAAACTCCCTTGTATTTGTATTTCCTTAATCAGCATATCAAACAAACCTTCTCAGAGGAGAATGTAATCAATGTAATATACTCATGCTCCTGAAAAAAAAGACAGCAGAGTTAATATCTTGCCTACAAAAATTGTGTGTAATGGCAAGGCTACTGAAATACACCATAGGTAGCATGATACAGGTGTATTGTGTCCCTTCAAAGGGAAAAGTAAACTTCAGCAGAGAGGCATTGAAATAGAAATTGAACAGAACGTGTTAGCCAAATTTATAATAGGACAATATTTCCCTGTTGCTATTTGGAGGGAGTCAGTATTTTCAGTGATATTGGGCATAGGAGGCCTTAGTGCTATTTGGAGGGAGTCAGTATTTTCAGTGATATTGGGCATAGGAGGCCTTAGTGGATGAGACCATAACATTAAAGTTGCAGTAATCTGCCATGAGAAACTATTCATTTTTTCCAGGTTTAAGAGCTGGCCAAATAAGTTGTTAAATGGAAAAGCTGTGGGGATAATTACCTTTTTACTAATTAGGTACTTGTGTTCAGATAATAACTCTCTGACACCAGCTAGGTGTCCTGATATTCAATTCAATTTTGATCATGACTATCTGAAATTAGTGCAGACCCCAAATGTTAAGTCCCACAGACTACCCTCACTTTAAATGTCAGTCCCAAGTTCTGGGTGCCACCTGCACTTTCAACTGACCAACTATAAATGTAGGGTTTCCCTTAAATTATGATAATTCACTAGAATTACTTACAAAACTCTCAGGCAAGTGTTATATTATGGGTACTGTTGTATTATAAATTACATAAATAAACAGTCAGATGAAGAGATACGTAAGGCAAGGGAGTGCAGTAGCACAACATTTCTGTCCCGGTGTTGTTGGGGTGTGCCATCCTCCCATTACATAAACATGTTTACCAGGCAAGAAGCTCTCCAAGTCTCATTGTACAGAGTTTTTTTTTTTGTTTTTTTGTTTTTTTGTTTTTTTTGGTGGAAGTTTTACCATGTAGGCATGCTTAATTACATCAGTGGCCAAGTTATTTAACTCAATCTTCAGCCCTTCTCCCTTCCCTGAAGGTAATAAAGTGGGGTTGAAAATTTTTTTCTGCCTAATCATGTGGTTGGTTTTTCTGGCAACCAACTCCCATCCTGAAGTTATCTAGGGACCCTGCCATGAGTCACCTTCTTAGCATAAACTCTGGTATGGTCCCAAGGGGCTTTTTAAAAATAACAAAGGACATTTCTATCACTCAGGAAATATCAAACATTTTTTGAAACTCTGTGCCAAGAAGGGAGAACAAAAGTCCAAATAGATTTACATTTAATATACTATAGTCTTATATAATACATTTCAATTGTTGAAATGTATTGTTTTAATTTATACTGGGCTATGTTGACTATTTTACCTTGAGGTTTATAGGGTACCATTTTGTCAATCTATTGTATAAATGACAGAAACAATTTAATTTTATGATAACTAAGGTGACTTATACCTGTTAATCTTCTATTGTATATTTAGTTAACCCCCACTAAGATTATAGTAGGTACTGTTATATTAGATAGCTAGTCAGACATGAACAGGGAAGGAGAGGCCCCCACCACTACCAGGAATGTCAGGCAACTATCAGGTGATGGTCAGGTAGTTGTTAAACTGTTTCTCTAAAATAATAATTGGTCTCAGCTGGCATCAGGGAACGGTAGTCTCCAAATGGATATAGGAAACCTAGGGGCTGGTGATCGGCAGATTCCTGATGGGACCTTGGGAGCTGGGTGAGTGGGTTCAAGCATATTCACTAAAAGGCAAAATGGCAGAATATAACTGGTATATGACCTCCTAGGGACATTCAACTGGTAAAGGAAGAATGTCTCAAGTGAGCATGTATAAAACTCCAATAAATGCACTGCACATGCTCACCTCCCAAGTGCTGGTAGGCCACTTTGCATGTGGACAGCCCACCCCAAGGGAAGAACCAGGGGAGAAGGGACCCAAGACCCCAGAAATATACCAACATATAAAACCCCTAGTCAAAAGGTCAAACAGTGCCGTTGATCTCTCAAGTCGCCCATTGGCCCTCTTCCAAGCATACACATTTCTTTCTAATACTCTCTAATAAACTTCACTTCTGCTTTAAAATTTGCCTCAGTCTCTCCTTCTGCCTTATGCCCCTCAGTTGAAATATTGCTTCTGAGGAGGCAAGAATTGAGTTTGTTGCAGACCTGTATGGATTCACTGCCACTAACATACTCTGGTGCTCCGTGACTCAGATACGTTCTGCTGCTAATATACTTTGGTGCCGTGTGACTCATACATTCTGCTGCTACAGTACTATGTTTAAATTTAATGAGATTCCCAGGTATAACTGTAATTTGAAACCCAGTATTAAATTTACAAGAGTTTTCCTGTTGGTACATTTTAACAGATGTTACAGTTAATTCACAACTTGTGTTTTAAAGGTGCAAAAGCCAGTCAGTCCATTAAATAAATGGTGCTGGGAAAACTAAGTGTTCACAAGCCAAAGCATGAAGAGGAGCCCTTACCTTACAGCATATAAAATTTTTAATTCATAATAAATCAATGATGTAACAGTAGGAGCTAAAACTATAAAACTCTTAGAAGAAAATATGGGGGTAAAGCTTTATGACATTGAATTTAGAAATTATCCCTTTATTTATTATTATTATTATTTGAGGCAGAGTCTCTCTCTGTCACCCAGGCTAGAATGCAGTGGTGTGATCTTGGCTCACTGCAACCTCTGCCTCCCAGGCTCAGGCAATTCTCCAGCCTCAGCCTCCTACAGGCGTGCACTACTGCGTCTGGCTACTTTTTTTTTTTTTTTGTATTTTTAGTAGATGCGAGGTTTCACCATGTTGGCCAGGCTGGTCTCGAACTCCTGACCTCAGGTCATCCACCAGCTTCAGCCTCCCAAAGTGCTGGGATTATAAGCATGAGCCACGGCACCTGCCTGAAATGATCCCTTTAATATGACAAGCACAGGCAACAGAAGAAAAGAGATACATTGGACTACGCCTTTGACTTATAAAAACTTTTAAAAATCAAAGGGCACTATCAACAGAGTAAAAAGGAAACACATAAAATGGGAGAAGATATTCACAAATCATAGTTGACAAGGAGCTAATATCCAGAATAAATACAAAACTTATACAACTCATCAACAAAAAGACAAACTGTCCAGTTGAAAATTGGATGAAGGACTTCAGTTGACACTTATTCAAATATTTACAAATAACCAATATGCACATAAAAACATGATCAACATCATACACCATCAGAGAAATGCAAATCAAAACCATAATGAGATACCATTTCACACTCATTAGGATGAATGTTATCAAAAACACATACAATAACAAGTGTTGGTACAGATTAGGAGAAATTAGAACCCATGTGCTTTATTGGTGGGAATATAAATGATGCAACTGCTGTGGAAAAAAGTATGGAATGGCAGGTCCTCAAAAAATTAAAAGTACAAATGCTGTATAATTCAGCAACTCTACCCAAAATAATTGAAAGCAGCAATTTAAACAGATATTTGTATACCCTTCTTCATAGCATTATTATTCACAACAGCCAAAAGGTGCAAGCAACCCAAGTATCTATTGGTTGATGAATGGATAAACAAAATGTGACATATAGCACCTGGGATTAAGTCCATTTTTAATTAACCCCTTCATTGTGCCACAGGGGTGACATGGGTCTTTTCTCCTATAACACTAAGGCCAGAACTTTGTTGAAACAAAGCCATAAACAGAAAAATGGCACAGCAGGTTTTGAGCGTCACAACTCAGATGACAAACATCCTTCCTTTCCTCACATTTTATTTTTATTTTTTCTCTGCATAAATTTCCTCATAATATTTTGGATTTCTAGCCGTATAAAGTCATGGCTTTCAGTTTCTGTCTCCATCCAATTTTGCATGAGTGGTAACATTCTGCATAGTTACAGAGATAGTTTTGGAAGCATGTGGCCTGGACTGCCTCTTAGGCAGCCACCTACTTTCTCCAGGGATTGCCAGTCAATTTGCCTGAGATTGAATTCCACCTCTGGTAAGATCATTTTGCCTGTGGCATGGCCAGAGGCCATCAAGCCCCAGTATCACAAGAGTACCCCTTTGATGTGCTTATAAGTAGCAATATTGAGTAAAACCCAGGTACCTCGGCTAGTTGTTTTGCATTAGAATAGCTTGTTTTTTGATCCTTTCTCATCACCAGCCACCATGGATGTGTACCTCAATACACTTAGGGTTTAGGAGAATGTGTGCAACAACAGCAAGGCAAGCAGCAGCACAGAAAATATGTGAAGTTGTTACCCTCACCTGAATAACAATGACTCTTGTTAAGCACCAGGGTGCCATGTTTGATTCTTCCCAAGGTGGTGATCTCCTTTGTTTTCACAATCCTCACCAAGGTCTATGCCTGGGTCTATCCCAAGGGTACACAATCACAAAAATGTCTGTATGGATCTCTCCACCAGCCAATGACAGTCACCAGGCTAGACACATTTGACCAGAGAGCTCTAGGCTGATTCTTGGAAAGTATGACTCAATAGCCAACCAGTTAGGCTGCTGTGTTTTTGCCACCTTTATAGGTGGTAGACTTGAAGACCACCAGAGGCCAAACTCATCTGCACATTATGCTGTCGTCAATTAATAACAATTCTTGCCTTTTGTATGAGAGTATTTTAGGGTAGGAAGAGATAGAGACAACAAAGTACCTTAAAAGCCAACATTCAAAACTAAGATAATCAGAAATTGGCAGTTCTGTCAAAGGCAGCCTTTTCCTACCATGGAACCAGTTAGTTAACGAACAACAGTTAATTAGAACTGACCAGGTGACCACAGCAATGGTTGGATAATTCTGTTCATGATAGCAATTGTTATAATCACTTTCTACTTAGCTTATTGATGAGAATGGATTCTTACCTGAGAATTACGGGGGTGGCCAAACACACAACACCTCTCACTGGACAGTTAAGTTTATTAGTCACACAGACACACAGCGCAGGGTATGAGGGCACTGCCTAGTGTACATGGCCACCCAGAGATTACAGTAGGGAATGGAGTGGACAAGCATTGGCTTTGTGAGATAGCCTTTTTAGTAACAGAAGTGTGGGATAACTCCTGATTCCTGAAGGAAGATGTGATTGGCTAGTTTGAATAATTCTACAGGCTGGCAGTGAACTGAAACTTGCTACTCATGAAAAAGCAAGAATTGCATCTGGTCCACTTACAGAGGATGATTTGTTTGTCTGGGATACCTTATCCTTGTGAATAGAATAGGGAGGGGAACTTGGAGTTAAGTCATTCAATGTCTGTCTTATTTCCCCATATGTAAAAGCAGCAAATACTATTGTGACTAAGTTTCAGACCTTACATGACATCTTTTTGTGTTCTTGTTGGTTTCATTTGAAGAATGCTAGTTTTTAATTTTTATGTAGTTGAATTTGTTTACTTTTGTCTTTTGTCACTTGTGTCACATCTATAAAATTATTATCTAACCCAAGGTCTTAGTTTACTTCTATTTTTTTCTTCTATGAGTTTTATGGTGTTAGCTCTTCTATTTATTTTTTTGATACATATTTACTTAATTTTTGTATATGTATGAGGCAGGGGTTTAAATTTATTATTTTGTATGATGATATCTAGTTGCCCCAGGATTATTTGTGGAAAATATCTTTTCCTCCATTCAAGTGTCTTGGTACTCATTTTGAATCAACTCATTATTCCACTATTACTTTCCTTATGATAGCACCACAAAGTCTTGATTACTGTAGATTTATAGGAGGTTTTGAAATGAGGGAGTGAGTACTCCAAATTCGTTTTTTGTTTTTAAACAGTTTTAGCTATTCTTGGTTTCTCATATCTGCATGCAAATTTTAATATCAATTTGTCAATTTCTGAAAAGAAAGGAAAAAAGGCAGCTGGGATTTTTACATGGATTTTTACACAATCCCTGTAAAATTAATGTGAGTATTGTATGTCATTGAATCTGTATATTAATATGGACATTAATGCCATCTTAACATTATTAACACTTCTAATCCATGAATATGACATGTTTCTCTATTTAGGTCTTCTTTAATTTCTTTCAGTGGTGATTTGTATTAATTTGTGTATAAGTCTCGCATCTATCTTGTTAAATTTATTCTAGTCTTCGTTGCTGTAATACAGTATATAATCATGCAATTGGTTTTTGTATATCGATATGTCCTTCAAATTTGTTGGACTCATTGACTAGCTCTAATGGTGGATGCTTTGAATTGTTTTATATAACATGATATTATGAGCAAATTCTAGTCTTATTTCCTAAATTGACAGGGGTTTTTAATTCATTTTTTCCTTTTCTTCTTCTTCTTCTTCTTTTTTTTTTTTCTTTTGAGACAGAGTCTTGCTTATAATCCAGGCTGGAGTGCAGTGAGTGGCAGGATCACAGCTTCACTGCAGGCTCAAGCAGTCCTCCCACCTCAGTCTCCTAAGTAGCTAGAACTACAGGCATGTGCCCCCACACTTGGCTAATTTTTAAAAATCTTTTGTAGAGACAGGGTCTCACTATATTACCCAGGCTGCTCTCGAACTCGTGAACTTAAGCCATTCTCCCAGCCTGGCCTCCCAAAGTGTTGAGATTACAAGCAGGAGCCACCGTGCCAGGACTAAAATTTTTTTTTTGACTAATTTTTATGGCAAGAATGTCCAGTACAATGTCAAATAGAAGTGATGATAGAAGACCTCTTTGTGTTATCCCTAATTTAAAAGAGAAGCTTCCAATATTTTCTCATTTAATATGGTATTAGTTGTAGATGTTCTTCATCAAGTTGATGAATGTCTGTTCTATTCCTAGTGGCAATGGATAAGATCTATATATAAGTTCTATTAGAATAATAATGTTCTAGACAAAACTAGGAATAAATCATTTATAATTAAAAGTATAATTTATCATAAAATATTTTTGAAAATATAAGATGTAACCAGAGCAAATATTTTAAAATAGGAAATGTTCCTGTCCACTTTAGAACATCCAATATCAGGGGGTTGGTTAATTAACTTTTCCTTCTATAATGAAATATCAGGTATCTGAGGCCTAAAAATTCTTAAGATGAAATAATGCCAATTATTCTACAATTAGATAAGGGGTTTAAGAAGTGGAGAACCTGCCTGCAGTGTCATATGGGAACTTGTTTCAGGAACTTACTCCTTCAAATCTAAACTGCCAATGACAGTGTTTGTCAACATTCTCTAGACTTGGTATTAGAATAGAATAAGACAAATTATGCTGCTGTAATCATTTTGACCATAAAATTTCAGTGGCATAGTCCAACAAAATTTATTTGTTACACGACGTCAGATGGTGTTTAGTGTTATCCAACTATCATCCAGTAACTCAGGGATTCAATGTCATGAAGAGAGTTTTCCCAGTTCAGTTTAAGTGCGATTTTGACACATGGCCACAAACACACATATGAAAATAAGGAGAAGCACAGAAATAGTGAGCACTGAATGTCTGCTATAAGCACCTCATCTAAATCAGACA
Organism: Homo sapiens; assembly: GCF_000001405.40. Classification (NCBI taxonomy): domain Eukaryota; kingdom Metazoa; phylum Chordata; class Mammalia; order Primates; family Hominidae; genus Homo; species Homo sapiens. The sequence goes on from NC_000024.10 coordinate 3,500,001, forward strand.
ATACACTTTACTCAAGATACAATTACAAAAACAGGGTTTGTGACCTTCTGGATGTACGTGGTATTTTGAGGAAACCAAAGGAATAAGTAATCTATTGCACTACAATGTAACACATTGATCATATAGTAGAGGACTATGAGACAGTTATTTGTGGTGTTAATTGCACAATTAGGGAGGATAAAAGAAGAGAAAGTTTTCCTAGAAGAAGTAATATTTAAGAATTCAATAGCTTAGCATGGAGGAGGAGAAAGAGCACAATGTGATTTAGGCACAGAAAGAAATGTTCACATTCCCAGCAAGTGGGTGTTAGAACATAATGAGATATATTCTCTAGAAAGATTTCTCAGGAAGAAATAAAAGGGGTAACCAAAGAAAGCACTGAAGGCAGACAGAAAATGTGAACAGCTATTAAAATTTACCATTACCTCAGGGCACACACCTTAAAAATCCCAGATCACTATGGTGGATAGTTTTCCACGGTCTTCATCCTTGGCAGGCCACACATTTTTAATTGGTTTATCAAGACATTAAAGCCGTCAATAGCTCACAATCAAAATAAAATTATTTAAAGGGCTCAATTATTTGGTTTCATCTTTTCTCACAGATCTTTACCTAGTCCTTAGATTTTTTGATGAATTTAAGAACAAATTTTAGTATACTCCGAACCATATTCAACATTTTTTTGAACTAGAAAGTTCTGTTCAAATTAATTAGTCTATCATTATGAGAGTAATTATTTCATCAATAATCCCAACCTCTATTTCCGCTAAATATGCTGATTTGATCTTCCTGAGAAAAATAAGTGTGTTCAATGGGTTCTTTTCATTCTTGACCTATTCAAATACTACCCAGGATTTAGCTTGATCTTGTCTCATGTATAAAGCTTCTCTTGGCCACCCCAGATCAAAATAACCTCTCCTGCCTTTTTGCTTTTATTTCACTTGTCTGTGTCTATCACAGTAGCTAATCCCTATAGTTAATTTTATGTGTTAATTTAGAGGGTATTTGTGTATGAGATTAATATTAAAACTGGTTCTGGTGAACTTTGAATAAACATGTTTCCCTTCATCATGTGGATAAGCATTATGTAATCAATTAAATGCCCAAACAGAACAAAAAGACTAGCCTTTCCAAGCAAGAGGAAATTCTCTCCAACAAACTGTCTTGGAATCCATCTGCACCATAGGCTTTCCTGGGGCTTAAGGCAGCTGGCCCACAACACAAATTTTGGTTTTCTCAGCCTTTGTAATCACATTAGCCAATTCCTCATAATTTTTCTCTCTCTCTCCTCTCTCTCTCTATATATATATAATAAACAGACACACATATGTGTATGTAGACAAATATATATATCCTATTTTTTCTATTTTTCTGAAGAGCACAGAGCAGAACACTACTGTATAAACACTTTCAAAATATGTGTATTTTTCCTAAATCAATCCATTTGTTAGGTACTCAGACACCGCCATAACATCTATAATAGATTCAGAAAATTTACTATTTTATTTTCAAAACATTGATTGTATTTTAACACCTATTTCAGCTCAGTTATTCTGTGCTTTATTCAGCTTCACATCTTCCATAAAGTCTAACACAATGATTAGCACAAAGCAAGAAATAAAGTTTATTAACAGTTATAAAAAGCATACATGACTGATAAATTAATAAAGATTTACTTTTAATAGTACCTAGGATTATGAAAAAATTAAATAATTGACATAAGTAAAAATTATTGTTCACCAAAATACATCCCAGTATTTGTATTGTTTTCCTACAAGCGTGGTCATGATCTATGCTAAAGAATATCCTATTTTACAACTGTATTCCTTTCAAATATATTTTATCTTCTCAGGTATGTGTAAATGTTTACTTCTTGCAAAATAATTATGGTGATAAGGGCAAGGCCATATTGATTTACTGTCTAGTATGCTTCATAAGTGGTCTACATGTTTAACCGATAAGTTAGCACCTCACACAATATATTCCCTTTTAAATCCCAAAATAAATGTTTGGTATTACAAACTTTCAGTACATTGTCTTTGAAATGTCAGCAGGAGTAACATTTTTTGAAGTCATGGAATTTATGTTTGCATTTTCAAAGATGGCAGTGCAGTACTTCCATACAATGATTTTACGTTGGTTTTCTGTTCCTGGGTGTTTGCTAAGGATGATGACTTCCAGCTCCATCCGTGTTCCTGTAAATGATATGAACTCATTCCTTTTTATGGCTGCAAAGAAAATACCACATGTTCTCATTTATGAGTTGGAGCTAACTGATGAGAACACATGGACACACAGAGGGAAACAGCAGACACTGAGGCCTACCTGAAGGTGGAGGGTGGGAGAAGGGAGAGGATCAGGAAAAATAACTAATGGGTACTAGGCTTAATACCTGAGTGATAAACTAATCTATACAACATACCTCCATAACACGAGTTTACCTATATAAGAAACCTGAACATGTACTCCTGAATTTAAAATAAATGTTTAAAAAATAGTTGTGCTTTGATATTTGCAGTTCATATATATATATAATATATACATATACATATATATACACATATACATATATATATATATATATATATTTTTTAAGTGTGGCCAATCGTACACCTTTAACATTGGGTATGGCAGCTGGAATATTGCAGATAACACAAAAACTGATAACACATCAAGGCCACAAATTAAGAAGATGAACTTTCTCAAATGAGGGAGTGATTTTTCTTACCATGGTTTTCACTAATGTCAAATTGAATGGTAAGATGTGGGGCCATTGCAATGTTTTTCTTATGGCGAAATCACATGCATTTTACCCTAACCTGTTAAGCAAATGTAAACTGGACTTGTGTCTTAGCTATATCACTGAGTCTAAAAACATTGACTCAATTTGTTTGTTGTGCCAAATTTTCAGCCAACTTAAATGGCATTGAACTGATTTATGATACTATTATTATTATTTTTTGAGATGGAGTCTCGCTCTGTCACCCAGGTTGGAGTGCAGTGGCATGATCTTGGCTCATTGCAACCTCTGCCTCCTGGTTTCAAGCGATTCTCCTGCCTCAGCCTCCCGAGTAGCTGGGATTACAGGCGTGAGCCACCAATCCCAGCTAAATTTTTTGTATTTTTAATACAGATGGGGTTTAACCATGTTGGCCAGGCTGATCTCGAACTCCTGACCTCAAGTGATCCACCCACTTCGGCCTCCCCAAGTGCTGGGATTACAGGCGTGAGCCACCACGCCCAGCCTATGATACCATTTTCAATGCCATACCCCTCATTCATTGAAGTGGCAGAAAATTATACCATAACTGGGTTCACTTAAGCCCTCCAAATTTAATCTCTACAATATTGAAGTAGAAAATGTAATTGTTACATTTACATCTAAAATTTTGTTTATAATTTAATAAGTTGAATGATTAAATTTGTAAATATACAAGATCGGATTAGTTCATTTGAAGCTTACGATGGAAGTCTTCCTTCATAGAAACAACTCAATTCCATGTTAACCATGTGGTAGCTAATAAATGTGGCAGAAATTTATTTAAAAATAATTTATACTTTCTATTATTTAGACCAAATTATAGGATTCTGAAAGTTCACAATCTTTTCAGTTGATCATGACCCATATGTTGTACTTTTAAACCAATAATCAATGTTATATAACCTTGAAATGATTCCAAACACCTAAGTAGTTTGCTATATAAGTGATACATTTTGCCGTGATAAGAACTTGGAGTTTATTCCCCATTCTCCTTAAGAAGGTGACACCTTATAAAAATCCATATGTGAATTATTGACCTCACCTCCTGCACTTCAAAATACATATAAACCCAAATTTGACAGACACTTTGAGAGCTTAGGCTGCAGCTGGCTATAAATCAAGAACATTTTCTGTGATAGGGCTGCATTGTCAGCTGCTTCTCTGAGGACTAACAGGTCAGGTAGTGGCAAAGCAACATCTTTAGGCTTTGAGTTAACCTTTGAAGTCTTGTTGGTTAACAGAAACCTCATCTTCTTGTGTCAAAGGACCTGAAGTGCCTTCACAGATCTCCTACTATGTTGGATATCATCTCTCCTGAGAACCACTCCTATAAAGTCATACCTCAAAGTTGAATTAGACTTTACTTTCCACAGAGGCCTGCTTTTATTCAGATTTAGCAAGTAGACTAATAATTTTGAAACACACTTACTATGTGGTTAATGTACCTCGCCTATTGAGTGCATTCTCTGTGAGATTTGTTCATGTAATTCTCCCCCTCTTTAAACACTGCAAACCTAAGGGAAAAAAATTATATTTGTATGGCAATAAACTGTGTCATTCCTGAAACTATGCTGTTATCATCTCCTTAGTTCTATGATACAAAACAACCACCAATTCAAAATAATACAATGTGAGTTCTAATATCAATAATAACTCTTGAAAAATGAAGTACAGACTTAACATTTCATTTGAGAAACAGTGAATCAAAATATCACCAGGCAATAGTTACAAGGGATTCATTACCATATTTACACTGGAAGAATCTCCTCCAGGTTTTTTCTTAATGAAAGAAGTCATGTGGAATAGAATTTTTTGTTTGCTTTTTTTTCTTACCAGATTTTATAAAGGTATTTCCTGAATTTCCCTGGGGAATCTACAGCTGGGAAATAAACTTTCATTTTTCAGTTACTTAGAAATTTTTAGGGAACAAGTTGTAACACAACTGGCATTTTAATTAAATGTTCTTATTAATGGACTGGCTGACACTTTCAAACATAGGTCTTGGTTTGTAAGAGACACAATGTGAAAGCAGAAATGTAAGAGATGCAATGTGAGAAGACAAACCATGTGACTCTGCAGTTGGCTAACACTTGAAAAGACAGTTTGCTTAAGTGTATAATATTCCAAGGTCACTGGTATTTCAGCAGATACACTGAAGAAGAATTAATATTTTATTTTTATTGTTGGATATTAAATGCAAAAATCCATCCTGTTTCTGACCATAAGAGTTACAGTGATTAGATTTGCTCTTCCTACACAAAGAATAGTAAATCTGGATAAACGTATAAAATGACTTTCCATAGAATGGAAATTAAGCAGTACAAGTATGAGATAAAGGGAAAAAATAACTGGGTCCTTAAAAGCCTCTTGGCTCTCTGCTTGGAGGTGATTTCAACACTAAAAAAGGACGATTCACTTAGCTGAAAAAAGGTGATATCAGGTGGAGTGTAGAGTATTAATGAGTTGAGAAGAGAAATATTAGAATTTAGAGAGTGAGGTGGCAGAAAGTAAAAGGAAAATGTTTATCAGAGGAGAGAGAGAGAAAAAAGGGTCTCCAGCCCTCCATTAAGACCTTAATTTGTGTCAAAGATTAAGTGTTATGATTTACCAAAAGTTGAATATATAAAGAAACAATTTTTGGTAACACTTTTGTTCAAAGGCAGAATAAAATATGTGAGTTAAAATTTGATGAGACAAACTCATGATCTACATTATATACAGTTTTTTCCCACTAGATAACTAATTTTTTTCATGAATTTTTTATATTGGGGCTCAAAGAAAGTTTAGATTAATAAATGTACCACCAAATCTAAAATTTAAAAATAAAATAAAAAATAGATGTGTAGACTTACTTTCTAGAATTGTAAGTAATAAGATGAACTCACATTTATTTTGTGCTTTATATAAAATTGCTAATTTTTATGTTTTCACAACACTCCTATGAGAAAAGCATATCATTTTTTATAGATGAGATAACTATGGCTCCTAGTGATCGAGATTGAAAGTAGTATAGTTAGAATGTGAATACGTATTTATGTTACTTTAAAGATAACACATATAGGAGAAGAATCATACACTAGGGGCCTATTAACACATATATGTATCCACATATATAATGACACCCCAACATGGAATATATATCTATAAATGAAGGTAAATAAGAAGTATGTAAAAACATGCTGCACATCATGTGTCATTAGAAATTGGAATGAGAACCACTACATAACTAGTAGAACAACTAAATGCATAAAATAAAATAAAATAAAATAAAATAAAATAAAATAAAATAAAATAAAGTCTAAAAACATGCATGCACAAAGAAATCCTATTGCAAATGGTTATAGCTGCTTTATCCATAATTACCAAAACCTGGAAGCAAATAATATGTCCTTTAGTGGATGAATGGACAAACTGTGGTACATCCATTCAATAGAATATTATTCAGGAATAAAAATAAATTAGCTACCAAAAACCAAAAAGACATAGATGAGTTTTAAATGCATGTTGCTACATGAAAGAGACCAGTCTATAGAGCTAGATACTGTATAATTCCAATTATATGACATACTGAAAAGGCAAAACTACAGAAATGATAAACACATTAGTGGTTGCCATGAGTTGAAAGGGTGAGAGAATGTTTGAATAGGTGAACTACAGAAGACTTTTTAGGGAAGTGACATTATCATGTATGTTATTGTAATGATGGATTTGAAACATTGAGCATTTATCCAGTCTCATAAAATTTTATGCACTAAGAGTAAGTCTGGGCTAGGTGTGGTGGCTCACGCCTATCATTCCAGCACTTTGGGAGGCTGAGGAAGACGGATCACTTGAGGTCAGAAGTTTGAGACCAGCCTGACCAACATGGAGAAACCCTGTCTCTACTAAAAATACAAAATTAGCTGGGTGTGGTGGCACATGCCTGAAATCCCAGCTACTCGGGAGGGAGAGGCAGGAGAATCGCTGAACCCAGGAGGTGGAGGTTGCGATGAGCCGAGATTGCACCATTGCACTCCAGCCTGGGCAACAAGAGTGAAACTGTCTCAAAAAAAAAAAAAAAAAAAAAAAGAATAGTAAGTCTGAATGTACACAAACATTTTTTTAAATAATTGAGAAGATTAAGACTCCGGGGATGGAATGCAGAATCATCTGACAAAATAAAATGTACTAAAACTATGTGAAATATATGAAATGACCTCAATGAAGGAGATGGAAGAGTCTGTAGGACTAAAGGCAAAAGAAACTGTGTAGAAGCACTGTTTAAGTTTAGAAAACCATTTCCCATAAGGATATGGGTGAGTAATTCTGAAATTACTATACATATATATTGAAATTGAGTAATTAATAAGTGTATGACAGAATGTAGCAGCCGGTTTTCTGTGTTTGTTTTTGTTTATGCTTTTACTGTTGGAGTGAGAGGTTAAATATTAACAAAGAGAAGAGGAAGCTGGGATCATATATATGGTAATTAAATAATGTTAGAGACATTGGTATGTATTTATATATATATGATAATAGAGAAATGAATACATATATAAATATTTATAGGTAAGTCTATAATACAAAGGTTAGTATTCACAACTATATCTTTTTACTCTGTCAGGTGAGAGAGCCTAAAAGCAATTATATGCCATTAGCAAAGAGTACACCCAGCACCTGAATCTTGTTTTCTACTATAATTATTCAATAAAAGAAACCACATCTCCTTAAAGAAATGACTGATTCTACAAATAGGGAAGAAAACACGTAAGGCAAGCCTGGTGCATCTTATAGCAGCAGAAAGTAAGACAGTACCTGAAAAATCAGATCATTTTAAGGTTCATCAAAGGGCTATAGGAGCAAATAAAAAGAACTATCAATGGTTAAAGCTGGAAAAAATTGAGCAACATAATAAATGAGCTTGTATTGGATAATAATCCACAACAAAAACATTTTGTTCATACTGATATAAATTAATGAGTTATTGAATAAATAAATGAGTAGAGAAGAATAACTACATCTTTCACACAAAATAATTCTAAATAATTTATGTAGAGAATCTGCCCTTAAGGAGGTGGAGTGTAACTCCCCATTCCTTAAATCTGAGCTGCACACACATATAATATGGATAGGGTGGGAATGAAAGTGACTTTACACTGGAGAAAACTAGAAAACATTATCTAAGGCAGGTGACCAATGTTAACATCAATGATGATGCATCGTGTTGAGAGTATGTATCATTGATATGATGTCATGACGATGATGTTTTACACCTCAGGATTTCCATATATTACTCCAGTCTAATTATGAGATAAACATCAGAGAAATTCCAATTGGGGGACATTCTGAAAAATACCTGACCAGTGCTCTTCAAAACTGTAAAACAGTACTTGAGGAAAGGGGAGCAAGGTGGCAGAACAGAAGGCTCCACTAACCGTGTCACCTGCAAGAACACAAATGTAACAACAATCTACAAAAAACACCATTATAAGAACCAAAAATTAGATGAGCACCTGATTATAACTTTATATTGCTGAAAGAGGCACTGAAGAGGTAGAAAAAAATAGTCTTGAATGCTAACACCACTCCTCCTTCATCCCCTGGCAGTGTCCATGTGGTGTGGAGAACATTTCTGTGTGCTGGGAAGAGGAATAGTGTAGCAATTGTGAGACATTGAACTCATCGCTGCAGTGCTATAGCAGAAAGAAAACAAAAGCAAACTCAGCCGATGCCCACCCAAAGAGGGTGCATTTAAGCCAGCCCTAGCTAGAGGGGAATTGCCAATCTCAGTGGCCCTTACTTGAGTTTCTGCAAGCTTCACCACCATGGGCTAAATTGCTATGGGTCTCCAAGTAAACTTGAAAGGCTGCTTGAGGAGATGAGAGGCAAGAGCGGGGAGGGCTTTGTCTTGCTTCTTGAATACCAGCTCAGCCACAGCAGGATAGAGCACGAGTCAGTCATGAGATCCCCTTTCCAGGCCCCAGCTCCTGGATGATGTTGCTAGACACACTCTGTGTAAGAAGAGAACCGACTCCCTTGAAGGAAAGGAGCCAATTCTGGCATAATTCATCAACTGCTAACTGAAGAGCCCTTGGGCCCTGAATAACTAGCAGCGATACCCTGGTACTATGTCAAGGGCTTGGGGTGACACTCTGAGACTTGCTGGCTTCAGTAGAGACTCAAAACATTCTCAGCTCTGGTGGCTACAAAGCAAGATTCCTTCTGCTTGAGAAAACTAGAGGGAAAAGTAAAGGGGACTTTGTCTTGCACGTTAGGTACCAGCTTAGCCACAGGGGTTTACAGCACTAAGTGTGCTCTTGAGGTCCCTGATTCCAAGATTTGGATCTTGGACAACATTTTTGGACCTGTGCTTGGCCGGAGGGGCGCCCACTCCCCTGAAGGTTGAGGGGTGGGTCTCAGGCAAGGCAGCAATCACCACAAGCTGACTGAAGAGCCCTTGGGCCTTAAGGAGTCATCGGCCGTAGCCTGATAGCACCCTCTGTGGATGTGTGGAGGCAGTGGCCACAAGATGAGGCTCCTCTGCCTTTGGAAAGAGAAAGGAAGTGTGGGAAGGACTGGGCTTTCTGGTTCGAGTGCCAGCTCTGTTGCAGTACAATAAAATACCAGGTAGACTGCTAAGGTTTTTGACTATAGTCCCTAGCTCCTGGTAGGCACCTCTGGACCCACTCGAGGTCTGGGAAAACTCACCACCATGAAGGGAAAGACAAAGGCCTGGCTGGCTTTACCACCTCCTAATTGTAGAGCCCCAGGTCCTTGAGTAAACACAGTAAGTAGTCAGGGAATGGTTACGGCAGGCCTTGGGTGAGACCCAGTGCCATACTAACTTCAGGTCTGACCTAGTGCTGTCCTAGGTGTGGTGACCACAGGGATGCTTGTGTCACAAAAACTACAGTTCCAAGTAGCTCAAAGGAGAGAAAGAGACTCTGGGAGAAAGTAAGGGGAGAGAGCAAGAGTCTCTGCCTTGTAATTCAGAGAATTCTTCCTTATCTTGCCCAGGACTATCAAGATGGTACCTATATAAGTCTGCAAAAAACAGTGTTAATGAGCTTGTGGTGCCCCCTAAAGCAGATACAGCTTAGATCACAACAACCAAGTCTTTTCGAAAATCTGGAAAGCCTTTCCAAGAAGGATGAGGATAATAAGCCCAGACTAAGAAAACTACAATAAAAACCTAACTCTTTGATGCCCAGACAGAGATGAACATCTATTAGTATCAAGAACATACAGGAAAACATGACCTCACCAAATTAACAGAATAAAGCACCAGGGACTAATCCTAGAAAAAAAGAGGTATGTGACCTTTCAGACAGAAAATGTAAAATAGCTGTTTTGAGGAAACTCAAAGAAATTAAAGATAACAGAGAGGGATTTTGAAATTACACCCAGCTTTCTTCTGCTCTATTAAATATTAGTTCATGCAAGCTGTGTTTTAAGCACTGTCGCTCAGGCTTAATTTTCTAACCTCTTCTCTCACCGCCCTCAGATTACTGTTGAAAATAAAGAGTGGTATTTATTGGTTTTATATTATGTGTAGAGGTGAATTTATATATTCTTTGTGAAGATAGGTAGTATATGAATAAAACTTTTTCTACACGAATTAAAATTTCTCATATTGGCTTTTCAGTCATAGTGATGTAGCATTCCAAATATTAATAAGTTGTTTTTAAATTTTTAGTTAGATAAGTGTAGCTCACCTGCATTAAAAAATCTATTTTATCAAAATATACTTAGTTGATGACAAATTTCATTTAAAAATGTATTGATATCTGGCTGGGCACAGTGGCTCACGCCTGTAATCCCAGCATTTTGGGAGGCCGAAGTGGGCAGATCACTTGAGGTCAGGAGTTTGAGATCAGCCTTGACAACACGGTGAAACCCTGTCTCTACTAAAAATGCAAAAATTAGCCAGATGTGGTAGCACAAGCCTGTAGTCCCAGCTACTAGGGAGGCTGAGGCAAGAGACGCGCTTGAACCTGGGAGGCAGAGGTTGCAGTGAGTCGAGATCATTCCATGGCACTCTAACCTGGGCCACACAGTAAGACTCTGTCCAAAAAAAAAAAAAGAAAAGGTATTGATATCATGTTGTGAGGACAATGATTTTGATATATTTTTTAAATTGTTCTCATATGGTATAGATAGATGTGTTTCTATCATACTTTTCATCTAAATATATTTAATAATCAAATAGGTCAGAAGAAAATAAATAAATACAAAGAGATAGGGTAAGGAGAGAAGGATTTGTGGTAAGCAGAGATAATTTATCAAAAGGTAGCATGTATTTGAAAACAAACAAAAATATATGTCAAATGTAATTTTAAAACATTAATGTTGGTACAGTCTCTTCAGTTGGAAATAAAACTCAGAATGTCTATAATACCAAAAGAGGTTTAACAAAAAGAGAACAAAAAACCCTTGCAGATTTGATTTCACATTAAAAGTGAATTCCCAAGTCAATTAATTATGGTTTCCATAGTTTCAAGCAGACATATATGGATTTTAAATATACTGTATTAGACTCCTCAACAATGATTTTCTCTCTAGAAAGCACAAATAAATAGAGTCAATAATGTGAGTTTCCTTTTGTATTTAATCATTTAAGTTTCAATAGAAGGTACTTTGTAATTAGATATTTCCTTCTTTTTCCTCCTCTGTTAAAAAAAGCTAAGAAGTAGTATTTTCTTTTTTGCTTACGGAAGTTTTTCTTGTACCAGAAAAGACTTTTAACATGTGAAATAGAATTTTATAGACTAAACTAACCAGCCTACAAATCTTCTTATACTCTAAAATTTATGCAGATATTTTAAGTTACAGAATACATTTACAGATGTTCCTGGACTTAACGATGGTGTTACATCTTTATAAACTCATCATAGCTTGAACATACCATAAGTCAAAAATGCATCTAATACACATAACCTATTGAACATTATAGTTTAGCCTACATTATAGTTTAGCCTAAACATTATAGTTTAGCCTAAATGTGCTTGGGACACTTATATTAGCCTATAATTGGGCAAAATTATCTAACACAAAGGCTATTTTATAATAAAGTATTAAATACATAATGTATTGACTACTGTACTGAATGTGGAAAACAGAATGGCTGTGTGGGTACTCCAAGGATAATTTCTACTGAATGAACATTTCTTTTGCATCATACATATCTGTATGACCTTACTAAGCATAGTAAACTTGACTAAAGCCTGATTCTTGTTCATTAAAAATGCTTATTAATGTCATTTTCTTCCAGCAGGAAAACCAGTGAGTACCATCCAAATAATAATTTTAAAGACATTCTTCAACAATGTGATTATTCTAACTCCAAAACAGATAAAATAAAAGGTAAATAAATAAATGGATGTGAATTTCATACTTGATATTTTGCCAAATTAAATATTATCAGTTTTGTATCATTATACATAAATATACCTCTTCTTATATATTTAATGGTTTATATTCCCCTCCCCTTCACATTGTGGCATTATGTTACTAGAATGTACTTCTTGGAATATAACTGTGTTATCTAAACTAGAAATATATTAAGACTTTTTTAAAAATATTCACTCAGTTTACCAGTATTTACTAGAATTCAAAAAAATAGTCACAAACTTTCAAGTAATATTTATATAAGAAGTTCAGATAAATAATTGGAATATTTTTAATTATAGACTACAACAAAGGACGTTGATGATTCAGGGTAACAGTGGAGAATCAGGAAGAAGGGAGAAGAGAGTGAATTTGCATTATGTAGTGGTGAATAGAAACTTTATTTTCTTTTAAATTTGACTGAGAGCTGTTCTGCCACAAAATTTTTATTTAGGTGCATTGTAGATGTATGTATATGCACATTTCTGTTAGTGAGTGTATATGTATGTCTTTCCTATACATCTTGTGTTTAAAGTAATATAAACATATATTCATAGGTAATTACACTACTTTTAAGCTTAATCTTTTTGAGCCACAGTTTTCTTATCTAAGTAAAAAATAATATGCCTTTCTCATAAGATTTTTGTGAAAATTAAAAACTGGCAACTTGATATAAAGCATAAAATAAATGTGAATTCATCCCGTTGATTACTATCAAAAAGAATAGGAAATCAAACTATATATTCATTGAGTCAAAAAATAAATACTTCATAGAAAGGAAATAGCTCTACAACAGCCAAAACCAATATGATGGATATATCACAAATTATAATCGCTCATAGAATTATAACTCATATTTTTTCTGCCTCTGAAGAAAACTATAAACACTTTCAAATATATGTTTTATAAAGTTTTAACTTTAGATAAACCACAGCTTAATCTGAGTCAACATCACACACAAAAGAATTACCAATGTTGTAACATTTAAATATGATCAGTTTGTCTTCAGCTTTATTAAAAATGAGCAAAAGCAAAAACAACTAGATAAAAACAAGCAAACATGTCTAATTTAATAGATATGGGAGCTACCTCTTAAAGTAACTTGGGCTTGAGAAGCCAAATCCCTGGGAAAGTCGAACCAGAAAAACAATCAACATTGATATTATGGAATTGGATATGTAACTCTGGGAATTTTCAACTATATTAATGTCAATTATGAAATGTATTGTTTTCTCCCTTCTACTTTAGAATTAATTCATTCTTCTAATTCTGTGCTTTCAAAATTAAAGTTTAGGTCATTGATTTTAAATATTTTTTCACTTGCTAATGTAAGCATCAATAAATGCTTATATTATACTCCTTTCCCTCTCACTGCTGCTTTAACTTCCTCCCACTAATTTATATATATTTTTTCTTTCATTATATTAGATAAAAAATAATTTCTAATTTTCTTGTGATTTACTCTTTGATATTGTCATTTAAAAATATTTTATTCAAACTTTATCCAATTTTGGAAATAATTTTGTTTTTTTTTGGTTTTAGTCAGAAAGCATATATTACATAATTTCTATTATTTGAAATGCATTAAGTATTATTTTTCTGGTCCAATATTGGCCTCCGTTAGCGAATGTTCCATGAGTATTTGGAAAAAATACTAGATATAATGTTTTCCAGATGACTATTCGGTCATAATATATGATAGTATTAAAATATACAACTATAACTTTGATTTGATTGATGAATAAACATTACATATTTTGTTTTTGGTGTCTTGAAGGTCTGCTTTCATATTCATGCACACTAAAATTAATTATTTCCTCTTTAACATTGACCCTTTGATTGACCCTTTGATTATTATGAAATGCCACTCTTTATCTCTTGTAATATACTTTGACGTGGAGCCTGTTTGATTTGTTGTTAACATACCTAACGAGAGTTTGCTTGCATCCTATCTCTCTCTTTCTAAACACTTTATTGATGTATAATTACCATAATATGAGAATATAAAATGCACCTATTAAAAGTGTACAGTTCAATGGCTTCTAGTATATTCACAAGGTTGGGCAACCATCATCATAATTTAAATTTTGAACATATATATTTCAAGATAAAACTACTTTATCAGATATAATCATTGCAAATATTGTCTCCCATTCTTTGGATTGTCTCTTTACTTTTTAAAATTATATCCTTTGACACACAAAAGTATTTAATTGGATGAAATACAATCTATCATTTTGTTGATTGTGCTTTTAATATCATATCTAAGAAACCATCAACTAATCCAAGCTTATTAAGATGTATGTGTATTTTCTTCTAAGTGTTTTATACTTTTAGATCTTATGTACAGATTTTTAATCTGTTAACCTTCTTAAACATGATATGAGGTAACAATCCCATTTTATTCATTTGCATGTGGGTGTCCAGTTGTCCCAGCACCATTTGCTGAATGACTATTATTTCTCATTAAATGGCCTTGGCACCCTTGTCAAAAATCAGTTGAACATGGATGCATATTTCTGTTTCTGGACTCTCAATTCTATTCCATTTTTTTCCATGTCTAATGCTTTTGCCAGTAACACTGCATTGATTATTGTCACTTTCTAGTTAAGTACTGAAACTGGGAAATGTGTGTCTTACTACTTTGTTCCTCCTTTTAAATATTGTTTCGTTAATCTGAGTCCCTTGCAATTCTATATACATTTAAAATTTAGAACCAGCTCACTAATTTCTATAAATAAAATAACAAGACTTGTGTTGCATCTGTAAGTCAATTTGGGAAGCATTTTCACCTTACGATATAAACTTTTCAGTTCTATAATCATTAAGTATTTTTCCCACGTATTATTGTCTTTAATTTCTTTAAACAATTGTTTACGGCTTTCAGAGTACAAGTTTTTAAGTTTATTTCTAGGTATTTTATTATTTTGGTACTATTGTAAATAAAATCATTCTCAATTTTATTTTCAGATTCTTTGTTTCAAGTTTAAAAAAGTAAAATTAATGTTTGTTTATTGATCTTATATACTGCAGTTGTGCTGAACTCATTTACGTGTTCTAATATTTGTCATTAATTCCTCAAGATATTCTACACTCAAGACCATTTCATCTGTGAATTGAGATAGTTTTACCTCTTCCTTTCAAATCTGAATGTTTACTATTTCTTTTGCATATCTAATTCCCCTGGATAGTACTGCCAGTGAAATTTTAAATAGATGTAATGAGAGTAGATATTTTTGTCTTATTTCTGATCTTAAGGAGAAAGAATCCAGTCTTTCATGGTTAAGTGTAATATTAGCTGCTGGGTTTTTTTGTGCATACTCTTTATCAGGTTGAGGAAGTTTTCTTCTATTCCTAGTTAATTGAGTGGTTTTATCATGAAATTACATTTGATTTGGTCAAATGCTTTTTCAGTGTCTATTGAGATGGTCCTCTGATTTTTATCTCTTATTCTATTGATGTGATGTGTTAATTTCATTAATTGTTAGATATTAAGCCAATATTACCTTCAAGGTATAAATCTCATTTGGCAATGGTGTATATTTCTTCTTATAAGTTGCAGGTTTCAGTTTGCCATTAGAGTTTATCTTTGAATAACATGGGCTTGAAATGTGTGGATTTTTTTTTCAACAAATACATTAGCAAAATATCTGGGGATTTGTGATAATTTGAAAAAAACCACGGTCAACATAGTCAACGAATTTTGATACAAAGAAGTATGGAATGTCATGAATGCATAAAATATATGTATATACTAGTCTATCTTATTATTCACTACTGTAGAATATATACATATCTATTACAAAATTTAAAATTTATCAAAACGTACAGACATATTTCCAGACCATACATGGCACCACTAGCAGTCAAGAGAAATGTAAACAAATGTAAAGGTGAAGTATTAAATAATAATTGCATAAATATAATCATAGTATATACATGAAGACAATAAGGACGAAGACCTCTATTATGAGCCACTTCCACTTAATGAATACTAAATATATTTTCTTTTCTTTATGATTTTCTTAAAAACATTTTTTCTCTAGTTCACTTTATTGTAAGAGTACAGTATTTAATAAATATAATATACAAATTTGTGTTAGTCAATTGTTTATGTTATCTGTAAGGCTTCTAGGCAACAGTATGCTATTACTTGTTGTTTTTGGGGAGGCCATCATTATCCTGGTAACCAAAACAGACAAAGATTTATAAAGAAAGACGATTTAGGTCCAGATTTTCTTTATGAATGTAGATCTGTTGAGGAAAAGTCCTCAACATAATACAGTTAACTTTTGAACAATGCAGGAATTTGGTATGTCAATCGCCTGTGCAGTTGAAAATCCACATGGCCTCATATAAGTTGGAGTTTTTTTTTTTTTGAGACGGAGTCTCGCTCTGTGGCCCAGGCTGGAGTGCAGTGGTGTGATCTCGGCTCACTGCAAGCTCCGCCTCCCGGGTTCACGCCATTCTCCTGCCTCAGCCTCCCGAGTAGCTGGGACTACAGGCGCCCGCCACCGCGCCCGGCTAATTTTTTGTATTTTTAGTAGAGACGGGGTTTCACCTTGTTAGCCAGGATGGTCTCGATCTGGAGTTCTTACCTTCACTACTTTCTGGAAGAGTTTGTGAAGATTGGTATTATATACTTTAAAAATGTTTAATAAAAGTTGGTGATAAAGCCATCTGGGCTTGAAATTTATTTGTGGGTATTTTTAAAATTATTACTAATTCAATCTTTCCACTTGTTTTAAGTCTATTTTTATTGCTTATTACTTTCTGCACTAGTTTCAGTAGTTGGCGTCTTTTTAAAAATTTGCTAATTTCATCTAAGTTATCTAATTTTCTGGAATACAATTGTTTGTAGTGTCTTTGTAATCATTTTTGTTTCAGTGAGGATGGCAGTAATATCACCTCTTTCAATTCAGACTGTAGTAACTTGAGTCTTCTCTCTTATTTATTTTGGTAAATCTAGCTAAAGATTTCTCAAATTTGTTGATTATTCCAGAGAATCACTTTTAGGTTTTATTAATTTTCTCTGTTTTATCTAGCCTCAATTTCATTAAAGTTATGCTAATCTTTATTATTTTTTCCTCTTCCTTGCCTTAGTTTTAGTTTGCTCTCCATCCAGTGTCTTTAGGTGGAAGGTTGGTTAATTTGTTTGAGACATTTCTTTTTCTTAATATAGTGACTGATAAAATTCCCAGTAAGCACTGCTTTCACTTAGTCTCATAAGTTTTATGATATTACATTTTGATTTTCATTCATCTCAAAGTATTGTCTGATTTCCTTTTTTTTCTTCTTTGACATAATCATTACTTAAGAGTGAGTACTCTGATTTCCATATATATATGTTTTCCAATTTTTTTCTGTTATTAATTACTAATTTTATTCCATTCTGGTGGAAAAACATGCTTTATATTATTTCTGTTTAAATTATTGAAGCTTGGTTTTGGCCTAGCATATTATCTATGCTGGAGAATATTCCATGTATACATTGAGAAGAATGTATACTCTGTTCTTAAGTGAAGCACTCTATAGATACCTGTTGAGTTTACTAAGCTTATAGTCTTATATTTCATTGATGATATTCTGCCTTGTTGTTCCATCTACTGTTGAAGGCGAAGCATTAAAAACTCTGTTATTGTTGAATGATCAATCTCTCTCTTATTCTCTGGCAGTTTTTGTTTTATGCATTTTAGCGCTCTGTTTTTAGATGCATTTCCATTTATAATTATTTTTCTGATAGATTTATACATGTTGGTTATTATTAAATACCCCACTGTATTTCTAGTAAAATTTCTTAGTCTATTTTGTCTGATAGCAGAATAGACACTCCAGCTTCTTCTTGCTTTTTTGTAATACATATTTTCCATCATTTTACTTTTATTCTCTTGTAGTTTTTAATCTAAATTATGTCTCTTATAAGCAGCACATTGTGTAATCAGGTATTTTTATACAGTCTATCTCTGCCTTTTGATTGGATTAATCTATTTACATTTAATGGTACTATTAATAATTGGATTGCATCTGCCATTTAATTTCTGCTTTCTCTGTCATCTGTATTTTTGTTATTTTTGCATTAAGGGAATATTTGCTAATTCAGAAATGAATAGGCAATTTAATAGCAATAGATGGGAATGTCAACACTCCACATTCAATAAGAGATGGAGCAACTAGGTTCACGATCAGCCTACAGATATAGAAGACTTAAGTAACACTATCAAAAACTGTGGCTTACTTCCTTTCTATATGGTACTCCACATAAAATAATAGAATACACATTTAGTTTCAAGATTACACACATGTGACCATACATCACAATTAAAACAGACTCGGACTTTATATTCCACTGGGTAAATTTGATTTCTGTATGTGTTTAATACATTTGTGCTATATTTTTGAGTTATTTTTATTGATTTGTCAAGGGTTTATTATACAGAACTTATCAGAATCAACTTTAGATTTAGGGTACCTTAATTACACTGAAATATAAAAATATTACTTCTATATTGCTCTGTCTCTTCTTCCTTATTTGTGTGTTACTATTTTTCTACCTATTATACAAATATAGTCACAAACTTTAAAATTATTACTTCATGTAAGTCTTTTTAAAAATGAGACGAGAAATTATAGTAAATATATATTATAAAGTTTGTTATATTACCCTTATTAACCATTTATGGTCCTTTTCATTTACTCCTATGTACTTGAGTTACCATCTTTTGTCATTTCCCTACTGTAATACAGATTTTCTTTAATCCACCTTCTTTGTGTTATGTTAGTGTTAGATATATTGCATTTCTATATGTTATAACCCAACTACTTTTTTTCTGTTGGAATGCCCTAAAGGTATCAGTTAGTTTTTGATGGTGTTGATATTTGTTTGTCAATAACATTGTTAAAGACTTCTATAATGCTACTAATTTTCTACCTAGTTGCCTTATCTGTTATTTGGTGTGCAGTATTACAGTTCTTAGCTACTATTATTGAATTGCCTATTTATTTATGTATGTATATATAAAAAAATAAACCCTTCTCCTGCAACTTAAACAGCGTAGGTATCAACTTGTTTGTTCACCATTAAGTTTATTATAAGTAGAGTACTATACAAAATTATACTAGCACTATGAGTGTAAGTATGTCTGGCCATTGATCAGATTCATAATATGTGAAATTTTCACAATAGGCAAAATAAATACTTGTCTGAAATAAAACATTTTTAAAAGCCAAAATAAATGGTCCTGGAAAAACTAATTTTTTAAAAATATATACTTTGTTTTCTATTTGGATAAATGTACATGCCAGTATATTCCACGACTTGTGTTATTGATGATAAAGAAATGATGGCTGACAACGAATTAGCAAAAGTTTTTTCAAGAATCATTCTTAGCAAAACTGAGGCATCTTCAAAAGATATTTAAATAGCTCAGACTTTTAATTACAAGGGATTTTTTGAATATATATTCCACTGTGCTATACTTTTCTGAGCTAATTTTTGAAAGCTATAGCATTAGTTATATGACACAAGCTATTAGCAAGGCATATTTTGCTAAAATCATATTTATGTTAAACTTTTATGTTTATATCGACATGCTCACTGAGTGCCATTATCATGGTATCATGTGAATCACTTCCACACAAGCTCATCACATAGAACAATTAAAACTTAGCCAATCTGCAGTGTCAGCATAATGTCAGTTTAGCATTTTTCAGTGGTTTGGGTTTTTTAAGCCTGTTCAGCACATGTGTCTAATTAAGTGTATTCTGAGTTCTACAGGAATGATATTTTCATAAAAATAAAAATTAATATTATAACTATAGTAAAACATTGCAGAATGCTACTTTTTCTACTGATATACTTTTACACTATTTGGTGAAAAAATATTCAATATCAAGTAAACTATAAAAAGTACATAGTCACTACAGCTCAAATACACAGTAAAACATAGAATGAGTCAATCAAAAACATAACAGGTTTAGGTTACCATTAACATTTTGAACATCTACTAAGTTAGGCACAAGAGAAAATGGATAATTAGTCACTGTTCTGTAGAGAAAATTCTCCTTTCGTGTTTATACAATAATTAGTATTAACTCATCACATGAAGCACAAAATAAGCTTCAATTATCCCATTCCTAATTCTAGATTTATATGAAGCAAAACAGAAATTAATTTTTTGGGCCACAAAAGCCTCTGGGTGTCACGATATGCCTATGGTGATAGTGTGATGAGTTTATGCTAACTGTTCATTACCAGAGTAACAAGGAAGAATTTGTCTCTATGATCTGTCTTAGAAGAAGTTCTATATTAGTAAATATGTTTTCCCATTATTTACGAGATGATAGATAAGGGGCATTTATAATGTCTCTAGATGTCTTTAACAACGATTAGTTAAAAGAAAGGTAAAGTGCATAAAATGTGCTTTTGTCTCAAGACCAGAATTTTAAGATGCTCATGCAAAACCTGAAGAAAGGCATTAAATCTAGGAAAGTCCTGAATTTGAGCTTCACATAGGTTATTACTATCAAATGATTCCACACTTGAAAATTGACTTTGCTTGCTTTTATAAACATTACACACTGAAAAATGGAATATTTTAAATCTGTACTTTCTGGTATCTCTAGGAAGCATTTATAAATCAACTATAGGAAATAATTGTCCAATAAAGATCATAAGAAATTATTATAATATTGGGTCACAATTTTTCAAACTTGACATAATCAGTAACTATAGTCAAAGGTTATCTGCACAAAAAAATGAATGCAGGCCGGGCACAGTGGCTCACGCCTGTAATCCCAGAACTTTGGGAGGCAGAGGAGGGTAGATTACAAGGTCAGGAGTTCGAGACCAGCCTGGCCAACATGGTGAAACCCCAACTCTACTAAAAAAAAAATACAAAAATTAGCCAGGCATGGTGGCTTGCACCTGTAATCCCAGCTACTCGGGAGGCTGAGGCAGGAGAATTGTTTGAACCCAGGAGGCGGAGGTTGCAGTGAGCCGAGGTCATGCCACTGCACTCCAGCTTGGGCGACAGGGCAAGACTCCGTCTCAAAAAAAAAAGAAGAAGAATACAAATGGAGCATTTTATGAGATGTTAATAATTAGTTTTTGATAATACAGATACACATATTCAGGACAACAACCTCAAAATAATTTTGCTTTTTTTTTATGTTGTTGTTCCTCTCTCATAGAAGAGCAACTACATATCTATATGTATGCATTACAGCTTACATGCTTCCTGTACTCAACTCAGCACTGTGCTGAAAGCAGCTTATACTGGCTAGCAAGCATAGAATGTTAATTTATAGACTTTTTTAAAGCTAGTTGTTAAATACATCCATTATTATAAATCAAATTGTATAAAATTAAAATTTAATTAAATTAAAAACAAAGTTTAACAGATGAGCGACAATTCCAGAAGGGTAGCATAAAAAGCTCTATAGACCCTTTCCCCAGTGAAACAAACATAATTTGCGAAAATTATTTAAAATCAGCAATTTCAATCTGTAGAAACTGTCCAAAGAGCATACAGAAAATTTTATATATACACATATGTGTATATATTCACACATATACATATATATTTATGTATATAAATACATAAGGAAGCACTTAAGTATATATACACACATATACATTTATATATTTAGCATATATTTAAGAAAATATACTAAATATTGGAAAGAGTCATGATAGTCTGAGATATTTGGACCATAACACATTCCTTCATCATATTGCCATGTCCTTTTCAGTGTGTTGAAATTCTACTGTGAGGTAGGGGAAGGGGTCCAACCAACAACACATGGCTACTTCCCTCCTTCCCTTCCAGTCTAAGGCCACAACATCTTTCTAAGAGGAGAATGATGCTAAAAATTTTCATTCCTCTTCAGGTCCATCTGGCTAAGAGATCAGAGGTTTTGTTCCTGTACCCAGCCCCCATTCATATGGCCGGAGCTTTATCTATCCCAGTTTCAACAAGATGAGCTTTCTTAGAGGGCATAGGTTCCATGCCAAGAGAGATAAGCTGAAAAGACCAGAATCTACCCAAACTGCCCATTGGCCTGCTTATACAGCCAGAGTACCACTTTGAGAGGAGGATTGGCAAAAATATTTTGCCCAGGAGAAGAGGCAGTCCATAAGACAGAGTTGTGTATTTTTTTCCCAAGGGCACTGACTTTACCTGGAACAGAGCTGGGAAGCTTAAATCTAAAATAGCAATAGAAAACAATGGAGATTTTTGGTAGTAATCAATTAAGAGGAGGCTAGTAGTTCTAAGAACGCAACAAGCTAAGTTGTACACCAGCTAGAAGTTTACCCAGGTGAAATGAGGAAAAGAGAGACTTTAAAAGAAGTTATTCTAAATATAAGATTATATTGTCTGCAAACAAGATTTTTTACTTCTTCCTGGCCAATTTGGATGCTTTTTATTTCTTTCTCTTGTCTAATTGCTCTGTCCAGGACTTACCGTAGTATGTTGAATAAAAGTGGTAAAAGTGGGCATCTTTGTGTTGTTCCAAATCATAGAGAAAAGGTGTTCAATTTTTCCCCATTCAATATGATGCTAGCTGTGGGTGTGTCATATATATGTCCTTTATTAGGCTGAGGTAAGTTCTTCCCATACACAGTTTTTAGAGAGTTTTTATTATGAAGTGATGTTGAGTTTTCTCAAATGATTTTCTGGCATGTACTAAAAGGTTCAAATAGATTTTTCTTTGATTCTATTAATGTGATTTATTATATTTATTTATTTGCATATGTTGAACCATTCATGCATCCCTGGGATAAATCCCACTTGATTTTGGTGAATTATCTTTTTAATGTGTTGTTGAATTTGATTTTCTAGTATTTTGCTGAGGATTATTGTATGTATGTTCATCAGGGATATTGGCCTGTAGTTTTCTCTCCTTGTTATGTCTTCGTCTGGTTGTAGTATCCGAATAATGCTGGCCTCATAGAATAAGTATGAATGTATTCCTTCCTTTTGAATTTCTTGAAACAGTTTGAGTAGAATTGGCATTTTTTTCGGTAAGTGTTTGCTATAATGAAGCAGTGAAGTCATCAGGTCCTGGACTTTTCTCCAGTGCGGGACTCAAAAATTCCACCAAAACATGTTAGAACTGATAAACAAATTCAGTAACGTTGCAAGTTAGAAAATCAACAGGCTGGGCGCAGTGGCTCACACCTGTAATCCCAGGACTTTGGGAGGCTAAGGCGGGCAGATCACGAGGTCAAGAGATCGAGACCATCCTGGCCCACATGGGGAAACCCTGTCTCAACTAAAAATACAAAAATTAGCTGGGCATGGTGGCACGTGCCTGTAGTCCCAGCTACTCAGGAGGCTGAGGCAGGAGAATCACTTGAACTCGGGAGGCAGAGGTTGCAGTGAGCTGAGATGATGCCACTGCACTCCAGCCTGGTGACAGAGCAAGACTCCGTCTCAAAAAAAAAAAGAAAAGAAAAAAGAAAATCAACAAACAAAAATCAGTAGTATTTCTGTGCCAATAGTGAAACATTTGAAAAATGAATGAAGAAAGCAATTCTATTTAAAATTGCTACAAAAATAAAATACCTAGGAACAAACATAACCAAAAAAGGGAAAGTCTTCTACACTGAAAATATAAAGTTGACAAAGACACAAAAAATAAAATGCTATTTTATGTTCATAGATTGAAAGAATATTGTTAAAATGTTCATACTACCCAAAATGATGTACGAATTCAATGTAATCTCTAATAAAGTATAAGTGATATTCTTCATAGAAATACAAAAACAATCCTAAAATTTTTATGGAACTGGCTGGGTGTGGTGGCTCATGTCTGTAATCCCAGTACTTTGGAAGGCCGAGGCGGGCAGATCACCTGAGGTCAGGAGTTTGAGACAAGCCTGGCCAACATGGTGAAACCTTGTATCTACTAAAATTAGAAAAATTAGCTGCGCTTGGTGGCAGGTACCTGTAATCCCAGCTACTCAGGAGGCTGAGGCAGGAGAATCGCTTGAACCCGGGAGGTAGAGGTTACAGTGAGAGGTTACAGTGGGGAAAGGACATGCTATTCAACAAATGTCCATAACCCATCGAGTTGATTTTTGTATAATCCATCTTGAGTTGATTTTTCTATAAGGTGAGAGATGAGGATCCAGTTTCCTTCTCTTGCATGTGGCTAGCCAATTATCCCAGCATCATTTGTTGAAAAGGGTGTCCTTTCTCCACTTTATGTTTTTGTTTGCATTGTTGAAGATCAGTTGGCTGTAAGTATTTGGGTTTACTTCTGGGTTCTCTATTCTGTTCCATTGGTCTATGTGCCTATTTTTATATCAGTACCATGCTGTTTTGGTGACTATGGCCTTACAGCATAGTTTGAAATCAGGTAATGTGATACTTCCAGATTTGTTCTTTCTGCTTAGTCTTGTTTGGGCTATGTGGGCTCTTTTTTGGTTCCATATGAATTCTCAAATTGTTTTTTTCTAATTGTGTTAAGAATGATGGTGACATTTTGATGAGAATTGCATTGAATTTGTAGATTGCTTTAGGCACTATGGTCATTTTCACAATATTGATTTTACCCATCCATGAGCATGGGATGTGTTTTCATTTGTTTGTATTGCCTATGATTTCTTTCAGCACTGCTGTTCCTTTATCCCAGAGGTTTGGATATGTGGTGTCTCTATTTTCATTCATTTCAAAAATTTTTTTGATTTCAGTTTTAATTTTGTTTACCCAGATGTCATTCAGAAACAAATAGTTTAGTTTGCATTAACTTATGTAATTCTGAGAGTTTCTCTTGGTATTGATTTCTAATGTTATTTCACTGTGATCTGAGAAGATAATTGATGCTATTTTGATTTTATTAAATTTATTGACATTTACTTTATGTCCAGGTATATGGTTGATTCTGTATGATATTCTATGTGCAGGTGACAGAAACACATATTCTGCTGCTGTTAAGTGGAATGTTCTGTAAATATCCATTAGGTCCATTTTGTCTACAGTCCAGTTTATGTTCACAGTTTCTTTGTTGATTTTCTGCCTCAGTGATATGTCCAGTGATGTCAGTGTGGTGTTGAAGTCTCCCACCACTATTGTTTGTGATCAATCTTTTTTCATAGGTCTATAACTACTTGTTTTATGAATCTGGGTGCTCCAGTGTTTGATACATATATATTTAGATAGTTAAATCTTCTTGTGGTTTTAAACCCTTTACCATTATATATATAATATCCTTCTTTACCTTTTTTAATTGTTGTTGGTTTAAAGTCTGTTAGATATGAGAATGGCTACTCCTGCTTGCTTTCGTTTTTCATTTTCATGATGTGTCTTTTTCTACCATTTTACTTTGAGTTTGAATGTGTCGTTAACCAGTAGGTAGGTGTCACATGGACAGTAGATGGTTGGTTCTTATTTTTAAATTCAATTTCCCACTCTGTATCTTTTAAACAGGGCATTTAGGCCATTTACACTCAAGGTTAATATTGATAAATGAGGTTTTGTTCCTGTTGTACTGTTGTTAGCTAGTTGTTTTGGAGTTTTAATTGTGTAATTTATAGGATCTGTGAGCTTTGTCCTTACATGGTCTTTTCTGATGGTGAGTATCGTCCTCTCATTTCCATATTTAGAATTCCTTTAAGTATTTCCTATGGGACTGGTCTATTGGTGACAACTTCTTTTAGAATTTGTGTGGCTGGGAAATACTTTATTTCTACTTCATTTATGACGCTTAGTTTGGCAGGATATACAATTCTTAGCTGATTTTTTTTCTTTAAGGAGGCTAAAAATAGCTCCCCAATATCTTTTGGCATGTAAGGTTTCTACTTAAAAGTATGTTGTTAGTCTAATCGATTTTCCTTTATAAGTGATTTAACCCTTTTCTCTAGCTGCCTTTAAGATTTTTAAATTTAGTGTTTACCTTGAATAATACAGTGACTATATTCCTTGATAATGTTTGTTTTGTATAGCCTCTTGAAGGCATTCTGTGGATTTCTTGTACTTAGATGTCTACCTCTCTAGCAAGATTATGGCAATTTTTATGAATTATTCTCTCACATATGTTGTCTAGCCTGCCTAATTTTTCTTCTTCTCTCTCTGAAATGCCAATATATTACAGGTTTGGTTGCTTTACATAATCCCATATTTCTTGAAGGTTTTGTTTATTCTTTTACATTTGTTTCTTTTTTTCTTTTTTTTTTTTTTTTTTTTTGAGACGGAGTCTCGCTCTGTCGCCCAGGCTGGAGTGCAGTGGCGGGATCTCGGCTCACTGCAAGCTCCGCCTCCCGGGTTCACGCCATTCTCCTGCCTCAGCCTCCCGAGTAGCTGGGACTACAGGCGCCCGCCACTACGCCCGGCTAATTTTTTGTATTTTTAGTAGAGACGGGGTTTCACCGTTTTAGCCGGGATGGTCTCGATCTCCTGACCTCGTGATCCGCCCGCCTCGGCCTCCCAAAGTGCTGGGATTACAGGCGTGAGCCACCGCGCCCGGCCTTGTTTCTTTATTTTTATCTGACTTAGTTGAATTACCCATCTTCAAGTTCTGAAATTCTTATGCTTAATATGGTGTATTGTCAAACCTTTCAACTGTAGTTCCAAATTACATAAGTGATTCTTTCATTTCCAAAAATTCTGTTTGATTTTTAAATATATTTATCTCTTCTATTTCTCAGATTGCTTTTGTTTCTATGTGCTGATTTTAAACCTTCTCTTGGATTTCTTTGAGTTTCCTCACAATCCATACTTTGTATTCTTCATCTATCATTTCTGAATATCCGGTTTGGTTAGGATCCATTGCTAGAGATCTAGTGTTATCCTTTGGTGGTCTCACAATATTCAGTTTTTTCATGATGCCAGGATTTACACTGATTCCTCATCTGCAAAGGCTGGCATTCCTTGTTTTTGAAATTATTTTCTTTAGGATAGGATTGCTTTTTTCCTTATTTCTTTTTCATCCTTCCCCAGAGAGTGTGACTATAACGTATGTTGAGGAGGACCTTTTGTCTTTGCTTCTGTAGACCTGTTGTCTTTTATTGGCAGGTTTTATATGAGGCTGTGCAGTTCGAAGTGCAGGCCACTAGGTGGTGTTTATGGGAAAGAGCCAGCTGCAACACAAGCAGATATGTATGCACTTTGTTGTTTCCTGTGAGATGCTCTCTGCTGTTTCCTGTGATGGGCTGAGTAGTGGAGTGCACAGTGCCCGTAGCTTCCTGTTTAATCGAGGGAGGGTGACAAAGCTGAGCAGAGCTGGATCCCCTGGCATGCTTACGAGTACTTCAGTGATGGGTGCAGGCACCAGCCCTGATGGGGGTGGCCAGGAGTCTTTGAGGTCTCTGCAGGAAGTGAGGGGATGGCACTGGCTCCATACCCTGGATAGGCTAGAGCACGATCTGTTTCCCAGTAACACCCTTGTCCCATGGCTCATGACTGTCAATTTAGAGGCATACTGTTGTCTATCTTTAAGCCACAGTAAATGCCTGTATTGTTACTGTTAAGCCAAAATATGTGAGACAGGTCTCGGTCAATTTAGAAAGTTGATTTTGCCAAGGTTAAGGACACACCCATGACACTTCCTCAGGGAAGTCCTGATGACGTGTGCCCAAGGTGGTCGAGAGTACAGTTTACTTTTACACATTTTAGGGAGACATGAGACATCAATCAATATGTGCAAGATGTACATTGGTTCAGTCCAGTAAGGCGGGACAACTCGAAGTGAGGGCTTCCGGGTTAGAAGACAAAAGGTTGCATTCTTCTGAGTCCTTGTTCAGCCTTCCACTGAATACACAATTTGGCCTGGCTCGGTAAATCTGGATTTTTACATAAACAACAGGGCAGAGGAAGCAATCAGATATGAATTTGTCTCAGGTGAGCCTCAGAGGAATGACTTAGAGTTCTGTCTGTCCTATGTCTAGAAGGAATTTCCTATGGCGAAAGAGTGAGGAAAGTATGTAGCTTCTTATCTTTATAGCTGTCTTATTTAGGAATGAAATGTGAGGCAAGTTTGCCTGAAATAGTTTTCAGCTTGACTTTTCTCTTAGCTTAGTGGTTTGGGGGTCCTGAGATTTATTTTCCTTTCACATTACTCTCTGTGGGAGTGGCTTCAGTTTGGAAGTCCTTCACTCAGTACAATACAGACAGCTATATGGCTTGCCTGTTCTCTGATTTGGTAACAGTACTGATGTGTATAGAGAGGTCTCTATTTTTTTGGCCCATGTAGATGGGCATCAGTTGTGGAGGTGTCAGGTGGTTGAGTTGGCTTGACCTAATGCCCTGTGGGAAGTGGTCTGGTGGCAGAACTGTTGGACTGGGCTAGATTGTCCCATAGTTCACAGGTCCTTACATTGCCTGCTGGTTAGTGTCTATGAGTCCTGAAGAGGCTGGACCAGGCAGGGTTGGGCTAGCCCAGAGTTCAGATGCTGGCTGTGATGAAGAGGGGTGGGCTGGTCACTGATCACCAGCAGAACTGTCAGGTTGTGGGGTTACACTTTCAGGAGAAATGCTCAGGTGAAGGCAGGGCAGCAGTGCTGTGGGCCTTTAACTGCAGAGACCAGGTCCCCTCAGCTGGAGCAACAGAGACTGGCAGCTGTGGGGTGTGTGGCACACTTGCACTTCCCTCCTACAAAAGTAGCTCTGGGTTTTATTAATACTCTTGGGGGCATGCACATGTGCTGGGCCTCCTTGCTCTCTCTCTGGCCCTGGAGTGGCAAGGACTTAGCCTGTGGCTGTGGCAGCTGCA
The DNA here is from genome assembly GCF_000001405.40 of Homo sapiens. Classification (NCBI taxonomy): domain Eukaryota; kingdom Metazoa; phylum Chordata; class Mammalia; order Primates; family Hominidae; genus Homo; species Homo sapiens. Next base: position 3,528,841 of record NC_000024.10, read on the forward strand.
AGGGGCTAGTCAGCGACCTCTGGGAGTGTGCTCTCAGAGGAACACACAGCCACAGCTGCAGTGTTCAGATGAAGGTGGGGCAGGTGCACTGGAGGCCTAAAGATGACAAGGCCCATTTGGCAGGAAGCAGTGAAGTTGGGGAGCTGTGGGGCATAAAATCTGTTGCTGTTCTGTACCTCATCTGCAGTTATCTGTGCTGACAGTGCCAGAATGTGTCCAGCCTCCCCATTCCCTCCCTGGCGTAGGGGCAGCAAGGGTGGAGGCAGCTGTAAAGGGCTTGTCAGTGACCTCTGGGAGTGGTGCTCTCAAAAGAATGCTGAACTGTGGCCAGTGTTCAGATGGAGATGGTATGGGTGTCCTTGGGGCCAGAAGGTGGCAAGCCTCATTTGGTAGGGAGCAGCAGAGTTGGAAAGTCACGTGGTGCACAGTCTGGCTGCTCCACAATACCATGGATGTAGTTTCTATCTTTGGGGTACATGAAAGTACCTGGTCTTTCTCTTTGGTGGGGTGGTGAGTAGCTGACAGTGGCCTACTCAGGGATCAAAAGCCTGTGGGATTCCATGTGGGCTTGAACGGTGCCTCTACAGTGTTTTCAGGTGGCTCTTGTGTTTTTCTGGTGGCCTGGGGGCATTGAGGGGACTCTCCCATGACTAGGATTGTAAAGGTCCATGGTGGAGGTGTGTATCACTGCTGGTGTCTCACTCACCCACCCCTTTCCCACCTTTGAGATCCTCTCTCGGCTCTGCACCTGTCCTGAATCAGTGGTAGTCTGGCTGCACACTTCTTGGCTTTCTGTGGGTCCCATCACTTACCTGGTGAATTTCAGTCTGCTCTATGAGATGATGTACTTGAGGTCTTGCTATTTACTTGTTATTTGGGCTTATCTTCGTAATAAAGGTAAATAAATGCTTCTAGTCAGCCATATTGAACCAGAACCTCTCAAGATTCATATCTGGAAACACTTCACACACCCCCACACACCTTTTTGGTCATACCCACAATCTCTTGTATGATTTCTTTGATTGGCTCGGTTTTAAATCTGTGAAGTCATGCACAACGTCTGAACACAATTTTCTCCAGCAGAAATTTATTGTTTCAAGCTTGATACCTTTGGTGGCTTTTTTTAGTAACGATAATGGCATCTTGAATGGTAGATTTTTATCATCTTCTATTAGAATTATTTTCCATACAGTTGACAATCCTTTCCTTAGAGAACCATGAGGCTTATAGATCCCTATGACCCCCTAATCTGGAGGCTGAATTGCAAACATTATTTTGGGGGCAATTAGACCACTTTTTATACATTCAGTCTTGAACAACTAGGGTTCTGGGTGGCAACGGACATTGTACAATATTATAAGAACTTTAAAAGGCAGTCTCTTTTTGGTAAGGTACTTTCTGACTTCAAGGACAAAGCCTCAAATGATTAATAGAGAAAAAAGATTCTTATTGTCCCAGCCTACTTGTTTTACAACCAAAAGACTGGCAACTGGTATTTATCTTTTCCCTTCAATGCTCCAGGGTTAGCAACATTATAGATAAGGGCAGTCCTTATCATAAATCTGACCATGTTTACACAAAACAGAAGAGTTATACTATCCTATCTCTAATCCTCGTACTCACCTCTCTTTTATCCTAATGAATGTCCTTTTGTGGCATTTTATTTCAGAATAGGGTACTTTTGTGTGCACTAAAAACTCATTCAGGTAGATATACTTTGTCCTCAATGATTTTCTTAATGGTAGCTGGGACCTGGTCTGCTTCTACTAGGTCAGCAGAAGATGCTTCTCCTCTTTTCTTGATATTTTTAAGCCAAAATTTCTAAAAATGTTTTAAGCCAGAATTTGTCTTTCTGAAGTTATCAAACCATTTCTTGCTGGTATTAAAATTTTCAGCTTTAGATCCTTCATCTTCCTTTTGCTTTAAGTTTTCATATAATAACTGGGCTTTTTCTTGCATTGTATTAGAATATTTAGATGTGCCTTTCTTTTAGCAGTCCTTCACTCACATAAAAGCTGCATATTCAACACAAGATAAGGTATTTCTCAAAAAGGCAAGCTTTTGGGACTTGCTGGTATAACTACACTGATGGCTTCAACTTTTTTTTTTACAATGATCCTTAAGTTTGAGTTATTAATCTTGAAATGTCAGGCAAGCACAGCTGCAGACCTCAACTTATAGTACATATCAGGCAATTCAACTTTTTTTTGTAATCTCATGACTTTTCTGTGCTACCTGTAGTACATATCAGTCAACTGAACTCTTTCTTGTAAAGTCAGACTTTTTTGTGCTCCTTGAAAGCACTTCCAGCATTACTAGTGGCACTTCATATGGGTCCCATGGTTTTATTCAAGGGTTACAGTATTGTACTAAACATTATAACAAATTAGTATAGTTTAAGGAGATACATATGTGTGCCACATTGTCCAGAATTGGATTTGTGTACTTAATTTTAGGTGTCAACCTGACAAGATGAAATAATACCTGGAAACCTGGTTAAGGATTATTTTTGGTGTGTATGTGAGGTTGTTTACAGAGAAGATTAGTGTGTGAATCTGAGTGGATTAGGTAGGGAAAATCTGCCCTTGTTATTGGTCAACATCATCCAATCACCTGGGGCCTGGAGAGAAAAAATTTAGAAGGAGAATTTGTCTCTCCCTGAGAACTAAAATAGTCTTCTTCTGGTGCCTCAGTCATCAGAATGTTAGGCTTGCCAGCCTTTGGATTGCAGAATTTACTGCAGCCTCCCTAGGTTCTGAGGCTTTTAAAATCCTGAACAATTCTACCAGCATCCCAGGGTCTCCACTTGCATAAAGCCTGTCATTGGACTTCCCAGCTATCATAATTACATGAGCCATTTCCCCTAAGTTCTCTGTCATATAGCTACATACATATCCTATTGCTTATTACTCTCTGGAGAACCATGGGTTATACAGACTTGGCATAGGGGGAAGCTGAATATCATTCCTTCTTATTGTGTTTCTTACAAGACAATGAATGGGATCTCTGAAATTATTACCTTTTAAAAAGGCTATGATTAGTTAAATGTACAAGGTTACTTAACGCCGAATGATACAAGTTTAAATGTTAATTATAATTGGTGCTGCAAAAGCAAAAGTCTGCTTAATTCTACCAGCTGAGCAATAACCAGACTTTTAAATGGACAGCATATAGTTACAAAATTTGTAGACCAGAAGCACTCTCCAAATACAAGTGCAGTGAGTATTTCAAAGATCACAGAATAAGTAAAAATGCAGGTGAAAAACACAAGAACTCTCCCCTGCCAAATTATTCAATCATGTATTTCTGCTCCTTCATACATAGGTGCCATACTTGCCTTCAAAAAATGCCTGTCAGAGAATATAAAGAATTCCACAAGCTCAGCGACCTTCTGAACCAAAGACACTTGTTCATATTTTGGTTTCTTCAGTGTTACAAAACACATTAAATGGTAAACTTCTTTGATTTTCTTATATTTACCACTAACCCTAATATAGAAATATGCTTCGCTGTGTCTAATGAATGGCACTTCCAACTGTCCCCACTATTTTTTATTAACTATGTACAATTAATACCCTGGTTGAATCCAAAAATTTTAGAACTTTTCTACTCATTTTTGTATTAATAACTCAAAATAGTAAAGCATTTTGTAAATGCTCATTTGAAGATCTGGTGAACTTTGCAGAAAAAAAAAATAAATTTTCAAACCACAATGACAGTTTTGAGTAAGTGTGGCCAGAGCTTCTACAAGTGAATTTCAAAATGTTACCAATAAAGTTTTTTTTTCCATTAACCTCAATGCATTTGGTAAAAATTCTAATGAATGGATTGGTCACACAGCATGACAATGACAAAAGCTTCAGTTTAAAAATGTATCATTTGCCTGCATTGGCATTCCTTCAAGCTTATAACATCCCAGGAACTTTTCAGGAATTAAAACAGCATTTGTCCGAAAAGTCGGTGTAGTTAACTACAAGTTCAAAAATAATTTTGTGTATGGTAGTATAAGAAGCCACTTATTTAATAGTGTTGCTGTTTGGCCAGTGTTGTTTATATCAAATTTGTGGCCTATAATTGAGTCCATACAGACTGGATTTTTTGCATAACCAAAACAATATAGAAGCATTGCACATAAAATGGGAAAATTTAATCAGAAATGCTCATGTTGTTGTATATCAAATCATGAAAGAATTTCAAGAAAAGGCAATGCCATGTAATGGCAAATGAATGTGATCATATTCTCTGAGGACAGCCATTTCCTAAAAGAAAAAAGGCAGCTATTCATTAAGACACAATATTTCAAAATATAGTTAATGATCATAAAACTCAGTTATCTCTTAGGGAGTATCTCCGTGAAACTGCCCATAAACTATCCCTGTGATACACTTTTTCATATGTTAAAAATTTTCTTTTTAGTCATTTTTATCTTCTTTTTCTTTTTTCAGGTTTCTTCACTATTTTAAATTATCAGTACTTTTTTTTTTGCAATTTGCTATACTATATTTCATCTTCACTTCATTTCCAATACTGGAGGTTGAAATTGTGTAGAGACTTTTGGAGGGTTCTAATTGATTTTATGTATTTTTTATCAATTTGATGCCACAAAAGTGCATTATCACAATGTTGACTTTGTATGTAAGTATTATGTATGTATATAAAATGTTGAAACTTCCCCAAAATAGGCATATAGACCAATGGAACAGAATAGAGAACCCAGAAATAAATGAAGAGATGTCCTATCCTGTATTTTGTTGAATCTACATATACAGATCATTTGGGGGAGAAATTTAACTTTATAATATTGTTTTCTAATTTGTGGTCATAACATATCACTTAATTCAAGCAGGAATTTTTCTTGGACCAGTTAGAGAATTGAGGTGACAGTGCCAAACTGCCACTGAAAACTTGAAGTGAATGATGAATTCAGAAGCCACAGCGCATATCAGCTTACCTAGAGCAGAAGATAGAACCATAAACTGACAGGATCACTAAAACAATAATTATAAAAAATTGATGGAGGCTGAGTGTGCACTACAGCAAAAGTGATAAATGTCTGGGGGTCATATTTCTAAGGGAAAGTCCACATTTTTGTAAGTTTTACCTCCAGGAACTCACCAGTTTCTCATGGTAAAGAGAAAAAAAAAACCCTAAAATCTTCCTTTTTATGGCAAGGAGATGGAAAAGGTAACCATTTAAAATATGCACAACATATTCATCATGACAAAGGGCATTTCTGCAAAAGAAATAATTTCACCAAGGTCTCATCCAAACTAGAAGAAAGACACTTAACCAAGTTTATCTCCTTCTAGGCTTTCTGTCTTATCTAGGTGGAAAACAAATAGCTATAGAACCACAGAGGACATGTGAAACTCACAACCCAGGGACACGAGCACTCTAAATGACTTAGATTCTTCCCAGCTTCACTGAGGTATAATTGACAAATAAAAATTGTATATATTGAAGGTCTACCACATGACATTTTGAAATATGTATACGTTGTGAAATGCTTACCACAATAAAGCTAATTAACATATCCATTACTCACATAGCTACTTTTTCTTGTGTGTGTGGTAAAAACTTAAGATCTACTCTCTTAGCAAGTTTTAAGTATATAATACATTGTAATTAACTGTAGTCCCCATGCTGTACATAAGATCTTCAAAAGTTATAAATCTTAAAACCTCAAGTTTGTACCCTTTTACCAATATCTCATTTCCCCCATTCCTGATCTCTGGTAACCACCCTTCTAAACTGTAAAATGATATAGTGTTATGTGAAAGTAAGCTACATTGTGAACTCTGGGGAAACCAATAACAAAATCAAGAATAAGAATAATTGATGTGATAAAAGAGAAGAGAAAATAAAGATACATAAAATGATGAATTAAAATCAAAAAGAAAAAAGATAACAAAACTAAAAACAAAGAACAAGTGTAAGAAATAGAAAACAATTAACAAGTGTGTTAGATATTAATCTCATTATATCAGTAATCACTCTAAATGTGAATGGTTAAAACTCACCAATGTAAAGACAGACTTTCAGAGTAGATAAAAAGAAAGATTAAACCGTGGTTTATAAGAAATCCTCTCTAAATATAAAGACGCAGATAGATTAAAAGTACAGAAATGTAGGAAAAGATGCCATGATAACACTAGTTTAAGAAAAGGATGGCTTAGCTACACTGATTTCAGACAGAGTAGATTTCAAAACAAGAAATAAAACATTAAAAGAGGTATTACATAACAATAAAGGGGCCGGGCACGGTGGCTCATGCCAGTAATCCCAGTATTTGGGGAGGTTGAGGTGGGTGGATCACCAGAGGTCAGAAGTTCAAGACCAGCCTGGCCAACATGGTGAAACTCAGTCTCTACTAAAAATCCAAAAAAAAAAAAAAAAAAAAAAAAAAAAAATTAGCCAGGCGTGGTGGCTTGTGTCTGTAATCCCAGCTACTCGGGAGGCTGAGGTAGGAGAATTGCTTGAACCTGGGAGGTGGGGGTTGCAGTGAGTGGAGATCGTGCCACTGCACTTCAGCCTGGGCAACAAGAGTGAAAACTCCATCTCTTAATAAATAAATAAATAAATAAATAAATAAATAAATAAATAAATGGGTTAATTTTCTACAAATACACAGTAGTCTTTAATATATATGTATTTAATGATAGATCATCAGAATGCCTAAGGCAAGCTTTGGAACAGTGACATCGGGAATGTGGCACAGTAGGAGATACCTGCTTTCATCCTGCTCCTCCACCACCACCACCACCACCAACAACAAAACAACAAAACATAAACAAAAATAGCCTTGACAGGGCTTAAGGATCCTTTCCAGAATAAACAGTAACAAAGTAGAAAAAAAAAACGGAAAAAAACTGCACAGAAAGGATATATGATGAAAGTGGCATATCTGTAATGTCTGGAGATGACTAAGAGTAAAGAAGTGTGATGGCTATCCATGTCAGCCACATGTTGGGTTCCACTGCAGACTCCAATGGCCTGATCAGCAGAGGATACTGGCACCTTTCATCACTGAGGTAACAAATAGCCATCACCACTGCAGACCCCCATAGAGGAAGATGTGGTTGCACCATGGCCACCCAGAAGTCAAAACTGTGCTACTCTAGGACTGAAGCTGCCATCCCTCCCAACCCTGTGCATGCTGCTCCCCCCCACCAAGCACCACAGAGATGTAGCCACTTCACCAGTGTCCACATTCTAGACCATGGCTCTGTAATCTCTCTGTGCTTACCAGTGAACATCCACATCTTAAACACTGGAACTACCATAGTTAAGGACTAGCACCATCATAGGCCCTAAACCCTACAGTTACTCTGTTTTTGCATAAACTACAGGTCATTGCCCTGTAGCCACCCCATGAAAGTAATGTATCTGGTGTTTGAGCCACACTCACAGCTAACCCATTCTCCAGTCCCTAAGGCTACTATAGCCATTCATGTGCTAACACTCCAAACTCCAGCCCCATTGCTGTACTGCACACACCTGCACCTAAAACTCAGAAACAATGTTACTATGAGATAGTCTGCACAGAAAACTGCATTGCTATTGTTGTCCTACACACATTTGTGCTCCATACTTCAATTCCCCAACTACTTCACAAACACCTATACCTCACACATTATTACCAATATGGCAATGAGGGTTTCTGTACATGAGGCACCATTGTCATGGCAGCCCAGGACCCTAGAGTCTTGATCTTTCCATGTGTGCCCATGCTTCAGATCCAAGCTCCATGGCTGCTTCTTAGGCAATGTTCATGAGACACCAGGGGAAACATGCCATTAAGCTGGATCCAGTGCTAATAAAGATCATCAGGGCCATGACTTCTCTGGTAGAAAAAAAAAAATGATGAGAAAGACCCAACAGCCTTCACCATTAAAAACTTTAATGGCCTTCATCACCACTGCAGATACTTTCAGCCTTGGCTGTTAAAAACCACTGCAATCTTTGCCAACGTCAAACTTAGCTGGGAGATTTGCATGGAAACTATGCTGCTGTGCCCAAACCAGAGCCAGAACCTCCACAACCACTCAAACAGTGTCCTTTCAACTACCTACCGAGGAAAGACTTTCCTCATGGAAAGTATTTCAATAAACTCTGGAAGAGGCGACTACTCCATCACATGTGCAGATATCAATGCAAGGCAGTAAGAAACATGAAAAACCAAGGAAACATATTACTACTAAAGAATACAATAATTTCCCAGTAACAGACCACAAAAAATGGAGATCTTTAAATTGCCTGAAAAATAATCCAAAATAATTGTTCTAAGAAACCTCAGCAAATTTCAAAAGAAAACAGAGACAATTTAACAAAATCTGTAACATAATAAATGAACAAAATAAGTTTAACAAAAAGATTAAAGCTGTATAAGAAATTACCAAAGAGAAGTTCTGGAACTAAAAATCAAAATGAAGGAAATGAAAAATGTAATAGAGATTATCAATAGCAGATTTCATCAAACAGAAAGAACAATCTATTAACTCAAATGTGGGTTATTTGAAAATATACAATCAGTTTTTAAAAGTAAAAAGAATGAAGAAAGTATGGACTTTATGGGACAGCATCAAAATGGCTAACTTTCACATCACAAGAATTTGAGATGGAAAAGACAGAGAGAAATGGATAGAAATATTATTTAAATAAATAATGGCTGAAAGCTTCTCAAATCTAGAGAAAGATTTAAATACTCAGGTACAAAGAGCTCGAAAGTCTCCAATCTGTTCAATTCACACAAAACTACACAAAGTCATATTGTAAACAAATTGACAAAAGTATAAGGCAAAGAGAGATTCTTGTAAGCAGGAAGAGAAAATTTTACAAACTCACATAAAAAGGAACATAATTTGGCTATCATCAGATTTTATAGCAGAAACTTTTCAAATGAGGAGAAAATGGGGTGATATATCAAAGTACTAAAAGAAAAAAAATACTGGCAAGCAAGAATACTTTACCTGGCAAATCTATCCTTCAGAAATAAAGGACAGGTAAAGGCTTTCTAGACACAGCAAAGCTCAGGGAGTTCATCACCACTAAATCCTTACAAGAAATTCTGAAGAAAGTTCTTCAAGCTAAAACAAAAGAATGCTAATTAGTAACATGAAAACATATGATCATATAAAACATACTGGTAAAAGTAAGTACATAGTTAAACTCAGAATACTGTAGTGCTGTAATGGTTGTGTTAAAATTATATACTTTTAGTGTAAAGGCTAAAAGACAAAACTGTTAAACATAACTATACCTCCAATTAATTTTAAGGGATACACAATATAAAAAGGTGTAAATTGTGATATCAAAAACATAAAATGTGGGTAGGGTCATAAAAGTGTAGATTTTTTTAATGTGATGAAACTCAAGTTGTTATCAGCTCAAAAGAGCCTGTTATAAATAAATGTGGTGTTTTATATAAGCCTCATGATAACCACAAAAATCTATAGGAGATATGCAAAAGGAAAAGAGAAAAAAGTAAGGCATATCACTACAGAAAATTATCAAATCACAAAGAACAACAGTTATGGAGGAAGTAAAAAACAAAGAATGAACAAAAGTACCAGAAAACAATAAACTAAATGGAATTAGTAATTCCTTACCTATCAATAATTGCCTTGGATAGAAATGAATTAAATTCTCTACTCAAAAGATGTAGAGTGTCTGAATGGATAAAAAGCAAAACCCACCTACATGTTGCTTATAAGAGACTTACTTTGGTGTTAAGGACACATAGACTGACAGTGAAGGGATGGAGAAAAGATATTCCATGAAAATAAAACCCAAAACAAAAAGACATGGAATGTGGTTATACGATGATAACATAGTCAATTCATCAAGAGTATGTAGTAATTTTAAATATTTATGCATCCAGCATTGGAAAATCTAAATATATAAAACAAATATTCATATATATGAAGGGAGAGACAAACTGCAATGCAATAAATATAGGGGATGTACATACCTGACTTTGATCAATGAATAGATCATCCAGACAGCAAATTAAGAAGGAAATATTGGCCTTCAACTACACTTTAGATCACATGAACCAAAGAGACATGCAGAAATTAGATCTTACAGCAGCAGAATACACATTATTCTCTAGTGCACATGGAATAGTCTCCATAGTAGACCATATGTAATGCCACAAGACAAGTCTTAACAAATATAAGATAACTGAAGTCATATGAAGTATCTTTTCTCATCACAATGGTATTAAATTTTATATCAATAACAGGAGGAATATTGGAAACTTTATAAATATTTGAAAATCCAAAAACATTTTCCTTAACAAACAATGGGTCAAAGAAGATCAAAAGAAAAATTTAAAACTATATTGAAACAAATTAAAATGAAAATACAATATACCAAAATTTACGGGATTCATAAAAAGTAGTTCAAAGAGAAATTGTAGTACAAAATATTTACATCAAGAAGGAAGAGTGATCTCAAGTAAACAACTTAATGTTACACTTCAAGGAAGTAGAAAAAGAAGAGTGAACTAAGCCCAATGTTAGTAGAAGAAAAGAAATAATAAATAATAGAGCAGAAATAAGAAATAGAGGCTAGAAAAACAATAGATAAGATGAAAATAGTCAAGCATTCATTTTTTGAAAGATAAAATTTTGAAAAAAACCTTTAGTTAAGCTTACTAAGAAGAGAAGACTCAAATAAATATAACTGGAAATGAAAGAGGAAATATTAAAATTGATGCCACAGAAATACAAGTAATCATAAGAAACTACATGAACAATTATAGACTAATGAACTGGATAACATAGAGGAAATGGATAAATTTCTTGCCATGTGAAACCTATTAAGACTCAATCAGAAAAACCAGAAAATCTGAACAGACCAATAATGAGAAAGGAGAATTAATCAGTAATAAAAATACCTCCTATCAAATAAAATCCAGGACCTGATAGCCTCATTGCTGAATGCTACCAATCATTTTATGAAGAATACCAATCCTTCTCAAATTCTTCCAAAAAAAATGAAAAGAAACACTTAAAATTGTCATTTAATGAGGCCAGCATTACTCTGATACCAAACCTGACAAAGACACTACAAGAAAAGAGAGGATGATGACCCTGATGAACACAGATGCAAAAGTCTTCAACAAAACACTAGCAAACTAAATTCCACAACACATTAAAAAGATCATATAACATCATCAAGTTGAAGTTACCCTTGAGATGCAAGAATGTTTCAACATCTGAAAATCAACAAATGGAACACACCACATTAACAGAATGAATCATCTCATGAGATGTAGAAAAATCTTTGGATAAAATTGAAGATATTTCATTATAAAAACTCACAACAAATTAAATATAGAAGAAATGTACCTAAACACAAGAAAGACCATGTATCACAAGCCCATGGCTAACATCATACTCCACAGTAAAAAGTTGAAAGCTATTTCTGTAAGATCAGGAAGAATTCAAGGATGCACACTCCTGCCACTTTTATTCACCATAGTACTGGAAGTCCTAGCAAAAACAATTAGGCAAGAAAAGAAAATAAATGTCATCCAAATCATAAAGAAAACAGTAACATCTCTGTTTGCAGATGTCAGGACATTATATATGGAATACACTAAACACTACACCAAAAATAGTTAGAACTCATTAAAAATCCCATAAAATTGCAGAATAAGAAATGAACACACAAAATCATTTGTATCTCTATATGTTAACATTGAACTATCTAAAGAGAAATTGAGAAGAAAATCCCATTTACAATTGCATGCATCAAAAAGAATAAAATATCAAAAAATAAATTTAACCAAGGAGGTCGAAGTTGTATACACTGAAAACTATAAAATATTAATGAAAGAAATTGAAGAAGGCAAAAATAAATAAAAAATATGTCCATGCATGCTATTGGAAAGATTTTATACTGCCAAAATTTCCATGCTATCCCAAGTGACCTACAGATTCAATGCTATATGAACAATAAGATCCTAAAATTTGCATGAACCAACAAAAGACCTGAATAGCACATGCACTCTTGACCAAGAACAACAAAGCAAGAGTCATGACACGCTCTAATTTCAAAATATATTAGAAAACTATGGGAATAAAAACACTCTGGTACTGGCATGAAAACAGACACACAGACCAGTAGAACAGAACAGAAAGTTGAGAAATAAATGCAATCATGTATGTTGAACTTACGTTTCTCAGTGTTGCCAAGAATACACAATGGGGAACAAATTGTCTCTTCCACAAATGCGGTTGGAATAATTAGATATTCATATAGAAAAGAATAAAATTCAACCCTTATCTTACAATATACACAAATATCAACTCAAAATAGATTAAAGACACATGTAATACTTGAAACTATAAATTACCTAGGGTAACATAAAGGGGAAAAGGTCCATGATTTTGGTCTTGGCAATGATTTTTTGAATAAAACAGAAGCATACAGTATGAAGCATTCCCAAAAAATTAGAATTGTTATCTGATTCAGAAATCCCACTTCCGGGTATATATGCAAAGGAAATCATACCACCTTCTAGAAAAGATATCTGCCTTCTATTATTGTTATTATTATTTTGTTGTTGTTGTTGTTGAGATGGAGTCTCACTCTGTTGCCCAGGCTGGAGTGCAGGGGCTCAATCTTGGCTCACTGCAACCTCTGCCTCCAGGTTTCAAGCGGTTTTCCTGCCTCAACCTCTTGAGTAGCTAGGACTATAGGCAGCTGACACCATGCTTGGCTAATTTTTGTATTTTTAGTAGAAACAGTGTTTCACCATGTTGGCCAAGCTGGTCTTGAACTCCTGACCTCCGGTGATCTGCCCTCCTTGGTCTCCTAAAGTGCTGTGATTACAGGCAGGAGCCACCATATCTGGCCTGCATTCTATTATTAATTGAAACGTTATTTGTGGTAGCCAAGATATAGCAGCAACCTAAGTGTCCATCAATGAATAAATGAAGAAAGAAAGTGTGATAAATATGTACACAATGGAATATGATACACAAAAGACAAATGCTTGAGAGGATGGCTACCCCATTTCATATAGTGTGATTATTACACATTTCATGCCTGCATCAAATCATCTCATGTACCCCAAAATATATACACTTACTATGTACCCACAAAACAAAAAATTAAAAATTAGTAAAACACCAATGTATAAAAAGGTCAAATCTTCATTTGTAGATCTACAATATAAAATTTAAATATTTCATTTATACCTCATTGAAGCTGGAAATAACAATATTGTTCAATCTATATACACTCATCTTTTGAAGTTGTCTGATTAAAGAATATAGAAATAAAAGGCATATACAATGTGTTCAGCTATTGTAAGAATAAATTGATAATTCTTAAAAAATAAAAATAAAAATAACAGTAACTTTTTATTTGTAATGAAAAATTAATCACTATTAACAATTGTGTGACATAATTGTTTTCTTCTCTAATCAAGAGCCCACAAATATTTTAAGCATATTTTGGGAATGCTGTAGAAAATAAGATGAAGAAATGAAAATCTATGCTAAATTTGCAGACTTTATATATTAATTGACAACATTATTATACTTCTGTCTCAGAGCATTTCAGCAATATTTGTAAAATGGAAGCCTATGGACACAGTATCTATTCCTGGTGTTCTCCTTCAGTGCACAATCTTGCTACCTAAATTTTTAAACATTATTTATTTATTTATGTGTATATAGTATGTGTATATATTTATGGGGTACATGAGGTGTTTTGATACAGGCATTCAAATTGTAATAATCATGTCATGTAAAATGGAGTATCCATATCCTCAAGCATTTATATTTCTGTTACACAAAAATTCTGTTCTTTTAGTTATTTTTAAACATATAATTAACTTATTGACCACAGTCACCCTGTTGTGATATCAAATACTAGGTCTCATTTATTCTTTCTAACAGTTTTGTACCCATTAACCATCCCCACTTGCCCCTGACACTCCCAATACCCTTCCCAGCTTCTGTTAACCATTCTTCTACACTTTCTCTTCATGAATCCAATTGTTTTGAATTTTAGATTCTATAAATAAGTGGGAACATGTGATATTTGTCTTTCTGTGCCTGGTTTATTTCACTTAGCATAATGACCTTCAATTCTATCCATATGATTGCTAGATCATATGACAGCTCAATATTTAGTTTATTGAGGAAGCTCCAAACTATTTGCCATAGTGGTTGTACTAATTTACATTTCCACCAACAACGTAGGAGGGTTCCCTTTTCTCCACATCCTTGCCAGCCTATGTTATTGCCTGTGTTTTGGATATAAGCCATTTTAACTAATCTCATTGCAGTTTTGATTTGCATTTCTCTGATGATCATTGACGTTGAGCACCTTTTCATATGCCTGTTTGCCATTTGTATTTCTTCTTTTGAAAAATGCCTATTCAGATATTTTGCCCATTTTTCAGTCAGATTATTAGATTTTTTCCTATAGAGCTGTTTGACCTCCCTATATATTCTGGTTATTAATCCCTTCCTAGATGTGTAGTTTGCAAATATTTTCTCCCAATTTGTAGGTTGCCTTTTCATGTTGTTAATGGTTTCCTTAATCATTTCCAGCTTTGTTGTGCAGAAGCTTGTTAACTTGATGTAACCTTATTTGTCCATTTTTGCTTTGGTTGCCTATGCCTGTGGAGTACTGCACAACAAATGTTTACCCAGACCAATGTCTTGGAGAGTTCCCTTCATGTTTTCTTGCTGTAGTTTCACAGGTTGAGGTCTTTGATTTAAGTCTTTGATACATATTGATTTGATTTTTGTATAAGGCAAGAGATAGAGCGAGACTCCGTCTCAAAAAAAAAAAAAAAAAAAAAAAAAAAAAAGAGATAGGGGTCTAGTTTCCCTCTTCTGCAGATGAATATCTACTTACCCCGGAACCATTTATTGAAGAGACTCTTTTCCTCAGTGTATGTTGTTGTCACTGTTGTATAAAATGAATTCACTGCATGTCTGTGGTTTTTGTTCTGGGTTCTCTCTGCTGTTCCATTTGTCTATGTGTCTGTTGTTATTACAGTACCATGCTGTTTTGGTTACTATAGGTCTGTAGTATAATTTGAAGTCAGTTTTGTTCTTTTTGCTTAGGATAGCTCCAGCTATTTTGTGTGTGTGTGTGTGTGTGTGTGTGTGTGTGTGTGTGTGTGTGTGGTTTTATATAAATTTTAGGATTATTTTCTATCTTTGTGAGGAATGTCATTGTTATTTTAATAGAGATTTCATTGAATTTGTAGATTGCTTTCGGTATTATGGACATTCTAACAATGTTGATTCCTCCAATCCAAGAATGTGGTATATCTTTGCAATTGTTGGTATCCTCTTCAATTTCTTTCATTAGTGTTTTATAATTGTACTTAGAGAGATCTTTTAATTCTTCATGTAAGCTAATTTCTAAGAATTTAGTTTTATTTTTTGTGATCATAAATTGAATTACATTTGATTTCCTTTTCAGATTGTTCACAATTGCCATATATAAATGCTACAGATTTTTGCATATTGATTTTATATCTGTGATTTTACTAGATTTGTTATCACTTCTAGTAGTTTCTTGGTGGAGTCTTTAGGTTTTTCCAAGTATGAGATCATACTATCTGCAAATAAGAACAATTTGAATTATTTATTTTTAATTTGAAAGCCATTTATTCCTATCTCTTGTTTGTTGGCTCTAGGTAATACTTCCAGTGCTACGTGGAAGAACAGTGGTGAAGGTGGGCATTCTTTTCATGTTTCAGATCTTAAAGGAAAGCTTTCAGTTTTTTCCCATTCAGTATGATAATAGCTGTGGGTCTGTCATATATGGCTTTTATTAGGTTGAGGTATATTATCTCTGTGTCCACTGTTTTCAGGGTTTTATTATGAAGGGATATTTAATGTTATCAAATGCCTTTTCAGCATCAATTGAAATGTTCATATAACTTTTGTGCTTCATTTTGATGATGATTTATCACATTGATTTGTGCATGTTGAACCATCCTTGCATCGCAGTGACAAATCCCACTAGGGTATGATGAATGATCTTTTAAATATATTGTTGAATTATATTTGCTACTATTTTCTTGAGGATTTTTGCATCAATATTCGTCAGGGATATTTGTCTGTAGTTTTATTTTGTGGACGTGTCTTTGGTTTTTGTATTAGGGTAATACTAGCCTCATAAAAGGAGGTTGGAAGTATTTTCTCCCCCTCTAACTTTCAAAATTACTTGAATATGATTGGTATTACATCTTCATTAAATGTTTGGTGGAATTCTGCAGTGAAGCTATCATGTCCTGGGTTTTTCTTTACTGGGATAATTTTTATTATGGCTCTGATGTCATTACTTCTTATTGGAAAATTCAGGTTTTGGATGTCTTCATGGTTAATTATTGGTAGATTGTATGTGTCTAGGAATTTTTCCACATGTGGGGAGTACTGCCAGACTACCTCCGATGTTCCCTTATGGCCCAAAGGCTCTTCAATCAGCTTGTGGTAAATGCTGCCTCACTTGGACTCCCCCTTTAGGGCAGTAGGTTCTCCTCTCACAAAGAGCTGGTCTAGTAATGTCTTCCAAGAGCCCAGTCCTAGAACTGAGGACTCCAATAGCCCACTTGATCCTCTACCCTTCTGTGTTTAAGCTGATATCTAAAGTGCAAGACAATGTGCCCTTTACTTTTCCTTCCATTTTTCTCAAGTGGAAGGAGTCTCTCACCTTGTATCCACCTCAGCTGGGAATATGCTAAGTCTCACCTGAAGCCTCCAAATCTGAGTCTCACCCAAGGTCTTTGATGTAGTACCTGGATATTACTGCTGGTTATTCAGGGTCCAAGGGCTCTTCAGTTAGCAAGTGACAAATGCTGGTAAAACTGCATCTTTTTCTTCATGTCAGAGGGTTCCCTTCAGACCCAGGGTGTCTAGAAATGTTATCTGGGATTGAGGTCCTGGAAAGGGAGCCTAACAACTGTGATTGGTACCCTATCCTGCTGTGGCTGAGCTGGTATTCAAGATGCAGATAAAGTCCTCCCCCCTCTTTCCTCTCCTGTCTTCAAGTAGAAGGAAGCAGTCTCTTTTGGAGCCATGAGATGTGTAGCCTGGGGTCAGAAGAGGGGCGATTCCAGCACTCTCTTAACCACCCTACCTGGCATCTCAATAGGTCATGTGTCCCTGCCCCCAGTCCACCAGCTCTGGGCCTAGTTTAGTACAGGGACTTGCCTAGGAGTTGCAGCCTTTGTGACAGAGGCTACCTTTCAAATTTATTTCAGCTCTCAGTAGTGAGGCTTGCTGGAAGTCAAGTTTGGACTACTGGGATTGGCAATTCCCCTCTGGCTAGGGCAGGCTTAAATGCTCCCTCCGTGGGCAGGTGTCAGCTAAGTTTGGTCCAGTTTTGCTTCTGCTATAACAGGGCAGCACTGAGTCAATCCCTTCCCCCACGACAACAACAACAACAAAAATGCTCTTCACACCACACTAGCACTGCCAGTGGGTGGAAAGAGGGGTGGCATTGGTGATTCAAGACTGTTTTTCCTACCTTTTCACTGTCCCTTTCAGCAATAAGTAGTTGAAACCAGGTACTTTGAGTACTCAGCTGATTTTTGTTTCTTACAAAGGGGCTTTTTGTGTGTAGATAGTTGTTAAATTGGTGTCGTTGGGTGGGGGCCAATCAGTGGCACCTTCTATGCTGCTGCCGTCTTGCTCCCATTCTGAGTTTGCTCCGAGAATATTTAATTTCAGCTCCAAAGTAGATTGCACAACAACTAATCAAGAGAAAAAAATCTGCATTCTAAATGAATCAAACACCTTTCATTAAAATAAAAGGACTGCCAAGAACAGATTAAAATGTTGGGCCTTAGCCCAGGATAGAATTTCTATCTAGGTCAAGGAACTCACTCTTACCGTTTCTAAGTGGGAAGAATGTGAATCCTTTAAGAAATAAAACACTTCGTAGTAAACAAACATTCTATAGATTTGAAGATACATGAAAATAACAACTCCATTTTTGTACTTTTATTTACAAAATTAATTTAGAAGCATAATTCCTAATTCAAATAACTACTTCCTAATGTCTTCCTATATTCCATCACAATAAATACCTCCAATTCCCAGGGCACAGCAAACAGCAAAAACGATAACAGTAACAAAACTAGTTATATATTAGTTGCTGTCTGTTCAAGGTTGATCAAGAAGTAGATTCTAAATTTTCCACAAAGAGGTCTCTAAAGCATAAAAATCTTTTGTTTTAAGCAAGAATGTCCAGTTTCACAGGTTCTGTAGATATTTTAATTATTTATTTATTTATTTTTTGAGACAGGGTCTCACTCTGTTGCCCAGGCTGGAGTGCAGTGACACGATCTCAGCTCACTGCAACCTCCACCTCACAGGTTCGAGCGATTCTCCTGCCTCAGCCTCCCAAGTAGCTGGGATTACAGGTACCTGTCAGCACGCCGAGCTAATTTTTGTATTTTTAGTAGACGTGGGGTTTCATCTTGTTGGCCAGGCTGGTGTTGAACCCCTGACCTCAGGTGATCTGCCCACCTTAGCCTCCCAAAGTGCTGGTATTACAGGCGTGAGCCACTGCGCCCAGCCTGGATATTTTAATTATGTTCCTTAGAAAGAAGTGCATTCATCATTATGGCTGAATTACTGCTATAATCTTTATATTCTTTTGAAACTCTTCTTTATATTATTATATTACCTATAAAACTGCTTTTTTGTTTTTGATGCTTAGCCTATTTTTGCCTTAATTCAGCAATAATAGTTATTATGTGTATTAATTGTATAATAAATTGAAGTATACCCTACACTTTTTAGACAATATATCATAGGTGACATTGAACTTAGTTTATGTACATTTATTTAAAATGACATCTACTAACGTATGGATTTTGAGAAAATGTTGAAAAAAGTCTATAATGTCTGCTTCCTCATCTGTAAAATAAATGATTTGTAATAGATTGTCTCCAGGTGTCTTACAAAACTAAAATTTTGTGTTCTATAATAGACAGAAGTAAAACAAGCAGTTTCAAAGAATGTAAGAATTATACCAATACTTCAGGGAAAAAAATGTCATATCTTTTGAACAATTCACTAGGTAAGTTACACACTTTGTGATGATAAATACCCAACTTTCTAAGGAACATACTCAGAAAACTTCAAGTGCTATGTTTTCGAGAGAATATTATATAATTGGTGCTAGAACTGAAATAAAATAAATAGCAGTCTCAGGCAGTTTTATACGTATTACTATGTTTATTAATAAGCAGCAACCATGTCCCTTCATTTTCTTCTTATCACTGAACACAAAATGTAAGGAGAAAATCTTTGTCAAAGTTTTTGAAAAATTTTATTAACATGAAGAGGTCCTTCCCTGTTTCTGTGCTGAACAGTACATTTCAATCAGCAACAAAAGTAAGTGGTATCTGTAATTCTGACCATGAGTTTTGTAATACTGTGTGATGACAGCTGAAATATGAGATATGGACCATCAAGTTTGCTTAACACTGATCACAGCTGCCTTTTCAAATTCAAGAGAACCCAGCATTCTTTTGTTGTCATGAATTAATATATCAATATTAAATAAAATTAAATTTTTGTGAGAATTTCTTATCTTTTACTCTGTAGGAAATAAACAGCTGTTTTTTTTTCTATTTGAATTAACATTTTGTATTGTCTTTGTTTTCCCTTGTTATATTATATCCACTTTTAAAAATGAAAATGAGATTCTCCAGGAACTTTGACTTTAGTGGAATGAAAAATTCATCTTGTAGCTGGTTGGTAAAAAAAAAGTAAATATTAGAGGAATTAAGAATATATATGGGTTCTTTCCAATGCATGGTGCAATCCTGTCCACAGGTCTTCATTAGCAAATGGTGGTGGTATTTATCTGAATGGATAGCCAAACAGTTTATTTCCATAAAAATATCAGGGTTTTAAACTGGTATAAAAAAAAGGAAGAAAAAGAAAAAAACCCCAAAACCACAGGTTTCTAGCAATGATGACTGAGTGGGGGCAAGGAAGACTCAACCTAAGTAGTATTTTAACAAATCTGTCATGTTTGAATGGTGAGAGCTCCATGGAAGAAAGGAGATGCCAAGTAGTGCTTCAAAGCTTCGGACCACAACCAAAACACAGCATCATTTCAAACAGAAGCAGCAGCCAAACACTGTTCACTTTGATACGGTTCAACGATGCTGACATCAATATTTAATCATCTGCTCACTCATCCAGGAAGAAGGGGAGATCAGTTACTACTGTACTGTGATTGTGTTCAACTCAATCATCATGTTATAAAAACAGCAAGCTGCCATAATGAAAAATAAAGTTCCTCTATCCAGTACCAGTAATCTTCAGTTCTTCACCTCCAAGCCTACAAACACCATAACCATATCCAAAGAACATAGGGGAGCAAAAAAAACCACACCTGATGTATTAGCTGGGACCACGATATTGTTCAGGCTGAGTTATTCCTCTGCAGTCTTATTTTCCTTATATTTTTGGTGTTTCATCTAATCATAAGGATTTTTAGGTCTAAATTATATGTACTCAAAAAAAATGTGTGCATATATTTATATATAAATTCTGACTGAAGATGCATAGCCATCAGCCCAGCGCATGTTAACATAGTAGGTGCAAGCTTGCAAAGCCTCATTTTTACTGGTATAGCAGCTGTGTGTCAGTGTAAATTCCTCCTATGTCCCTTGTACATCTCCAAGCTCTGAACAGGAAAATGTTACAGACCATTTTGCCCCTTTGGCTTCTGGCATTATATGACTTAATCCTCCATGTTTTCCCTCTCCATCTCCCAATCACCTGCAATAAACCATAGCCTTTAAGATTTTGTTTCTTCAGTTTTGATCATCTGAGGTTTGATTGGTCCAGTTCTAACAGGTTTGGTGGCTATGGATGGTGCAGTGGGTGGCTTTTCTTCTACTTTTCCGTGACAGACACCAGGAGGGTTGGCCAGTGTTTCAGGAGTTTTACTTGAATCACACCAGTTTTTAGCTGATGTTCATGAAGAACAGTGACTACCTAGAACTGTGCCCCTAATTAAAGGAAATCCTAAGAAGGTGCATTTCTTTACAGAGCTGTGTCATGCCGTCCTTTGGGCCCCCTTCTGGAAAAGTAGAATCAACTCTCGAATAATGCCTTTTTAATTGTATCCTCTAGTATTATAGATATAGGACAGTACTGTATCATACCTCTGTGAATGTAAAATATCTTGTACTTGCTTGATGATACTTAGTAGTGACCATACTTTATAAGAGCTGTTTTTAATTAGGTTATTCTAGAATGTTTTCTTTCCACATGATGATTCAGAAGCTAATTTTAAAAAATGGTGCCAGGTACCACAACAGTAACAGAACTTTGTAGTTTTCTGGGGTTTTGTTTTTTACCTCCCCCCGCCATTTTTTTAAATGGAGTGTGCTGGATGTCTCTATAATTTTGTTCAGATGACCGCAGAACCTGGAAAAACTGTTGCTGCTATTGATCCGTAACATACTGCTGTTATTGATCTATATATATATATGCACACATATATATAATTTCAATTTTTGGAAACTTTAGATGTGCTGTCAACTTTGGAAAAAGTACCCCAGTTTACTGTGTTGAGTTGGCATTGTACAGAAATTAACGGCCATATTGGTCTACAAACATTAAACTTATTTTTTTCGATTTGTACAGGGGTAACACACTGTATTAAATATGTAAGGTCTTATGTACATGGGTTTGATTATAGAAACTAATAAAGTATTCTCTAAATAATGAAAAAAAATCAGGGTTTTAGCCACATAATCAGCAACATTGGTATATGCATGAAACTGTGCTAAATAGCATAAAAGAATGCAAAAGCCCTGCCCTAGTATGAGAAACAAGAAATGAACACACACACACACACACACACACACACACACGTAAACACATACACAATATAAACATTGATAGTTGACAAGCAGAACTTAATGGAGAATGACAAAGTGAGAATCGTGCCCCATAGGCATTTATTTTAAAAGCTGATTTGCCTGGAGTAAGGCAAATTTTGAAAGTGTCAACTTTTTATCAAGCAATTTTAACCTGTACATGTAATTCCTTTATGTAAACTATTTAAATCTCATGCAATCTTATGAAGCAGGTATTATTTTCTCCCAATTTTATAGGTTAAGAAACTGAGGTTTGTGGGGATTAAGTCATTTAATCAAGATAAAATAGCTAGCAAATGATAAACTTAGTTTTTTAAATCTAGGCCTATATGCCCACTGATCTAGAATTCTTAATAAATAGAGATGCTACACTTTCTAAATTCCCCTGTATATTTCATTAGAAAAAAGATCTTATTTGTTTTCTTTATTCTATTTTTTGTGTCCAGCAAAATTCCAGGTATATATATTAGATATACAAGAAATATTTGTAGAGTGAATGAATGATCAGTAAAAGCATAAAATATGGAGGCTTTTAAGAAAAAAGACAGAAAAGAATAAGCCCAAAATGTATATAGCATATGGTTCACTGACCACTATAAATAAGATATAGACATAAAATTCACTAAATATAGAAAAATAAAATAGAAGAAGTAGAATTCCCCAAGTTAGCCCTGGTAGCAGGAGATTTGGCAAAGAACCTCTATCAAGTGGATGAAGGAAGCAGAGATTTTAAAAAAGGAAAAAAAAAATGGAGAAAGATGACATTGGCATTAGCTCATTTGAAAGTAATGTTTTCTTTAGAATATCTTTAAATTTTCAGAAAAGTTGCAAATACAGTTCAGAGTATTCCCATGTATTCAACACCCAGTTTCCCCCCTTATATTAATAAATTGCCTTTGTAAGGCACATTTTTCAAAACTGACAAATCAATATTGATACATTACTGTTAATTAAAGCCCATACTTTTTTCAATTTTCTTAATTTTAACTAATGTGTTTTTTCTATTACAAGACTTCATGCAGGATATCACATTATACTAGTTATCATGTCCCCTTAGGCTCCTCCTGTCTATGACAGATCTTAGAATTTCTTTGTTTTTGATGACATTGGCAGGTTTGTAAAGTACTAATCAAGTAATTTGTAGAATGTCACTTAATTGGAATATGTCTAATTATTTGTCACATGAGTAGACTGGTTACGTTTTTTTTTTTTCCAGAAGATTGTGGAGGTAAAGTGTCTTTTGTGTCACATTATATCAAGGGTACATGCTATGAACACACTTTCTCACTGGCAATGTTAACCTTGATCACTAGGCAAAGTTAGTGTTTGTCAGGGTTCTTCAACTATAAAAGTCAGTATTTTTACCCCTTCACGTACTATACAGCTCAAAAGAATGTCCTCATGTTCAGCCAACACTTATGAAGTGGAGCTCCTTGTGGGGGTAGTATCTAATTTAAATTATTTGGAATTCTTCTGAATGGGACATTTGTTCATTGTCCCTCATTTAGTTACTTATTCATTTATTTATGTCAATGTGGACTCATACATATTTGTTTTTTCCTTATGTTATACTACAATGTAATTTATTCATTTTGTTTTTCAAATTCTTCCACCTTTGGTTATTGAGATCTCTTTCTTTGTTTTGTTTTGTTTTGTTTTGTGTTTGTTTTGAGTCAGGGTCTTGCTCTATTGCCCAGGCTGAAGTGCAGTTGTGTGATCATTGTTCACTGCAGTCTCAAACTCTGGGGTCTAAATTATCCTCCTGCCTCAGGTCCCACATAACTGGGACTATAGGCATGTGCCACCACACACAGTCAGGTGTTTTATATTTTGCACAAGTTCAGTCTTGCTCTGTTGCCCAGACTGTTATGGAAATCCTGGCCTAAACTAATCCTCCTTCCTCAGTCTCCAAAAGTGCTGGAATTACATGGGTGAGCCACTATTCACCGCTGGGAGCTCTTTAAGTAAACTCCTATGCTAATTTGGCATACCCAATCATTGTGCATGTGTGTGTTTCCTATCATTTAATTGTTGAGTATTTCCTTTACTTTCTGTCATTACACAATGCTCCAAGTTTATCTTCTATAGTTTTTAAAATGTCCTAAAATCCATTATTTCCCAGGTAAATCTGCTCCTGTTTATTGGATAAAGGTACTAAAAACCAGACCAAGTTTATTGGATCTGGTTTCTGGGTGTTCTTATTGTTATTGATGTATCCTTTTTTCAAGGTCTTCTCAGCTAGCAGAGCAATAGGGGTATGCGTGTATGCTAGCCCATGTGTGTACAAATATTTATCAATCTAAGGTTACTCATTTATCATCTCTATCTATATGAAGTAATTATTAGTTCATACTTTTGTTTCTAAGTAATCAATTACAACAATGATAAATCTAGTTATTTTTATTTGCTTGTTCTCCAGAAGTAAGAAACAAGGCTATCAACATCTGACATTCATTTACTTGTTTATTCTAGCACGCATTTATACTAGTTTCAGAATTGTTAGTCCATACCTTATCAATCAAAATACACCTGACATGCCCTACAAGAAATGCTAGAAAGAGTTCTTCAAGCCAAAATGAAAGCATACTAGATGTTAATGTGAAGCCAGATGAAAATATAACTATATTTAGTGACGTTAAATACATCAACAGTATGAAAACCAGGATTATTGTAATATAAATTTTTCTTCAGAATTTAAAAAAACAAAATGCATAAAAATGTATAAGTCTATCTTAATGAATGCACAATATATAAAGATGTACTTTGTGATATTAATAATACATAGCAGTAGGGCAGAGAGATAAAGTAGAGTCTATATATGCAAATAAAGTTTAATTGATATCAATTTAAAATAGATTGTTGTGACTTTAAGGTATGATATTCAATCCCTATAATAACCACAAGGAAAATATCTATGAAATATACACAAAAAGAAATAAGAAGAGAATTAAAACATGCTATAACAAAAACTCAACTAAACAAGAGAAAGAAGAAGTAATGGAGGGAATGATGAATGCAAAAATTAATAAGCATGCAGAAAATGATAACGAGATTGCAATATAAGCCCCTACCTATAAGGATTTTTAAAAAATATAAATGGACTAAATCCCTCAATTGAAAGGCATAGATAAGTGGGTGAATTGTTTTAAAATAATCCAATTACATTCTGTGTACAAGAGACTCATTATAGTGGAAAATAAAAAGATGGGAAATATATTCCATGCATATTAATAACCAAAGAAGTGTAGTAGTGGCTATACTAATATTAGAATAAAATAGTCTTTATGTAAAAAAACTGTTACGAGACAAAAAAAGAACATTATATGTTGATAGGAGGTTTAACTAACCAAGAATATATAACAATTATAAACAAATATGCACCAAACATCAAAGCTCCGAAGTATGTAAAGCAAACATTCACAGAACTGAACAAATATATAGAAAATTCTACAATAATAGCTGGAGACATAAACAGGAGTATTTCATTTGATAACAGAAAGAGCACACAAAAAATTGGTAGAGACTAGGAAAGTTCATAGTACTACAGACCAAGTTGACATAATAGACATACAGAATGCTCCTCACATTGAGAACTGAATATACATTTTCTTCAAGTGATTATGGAACAATCTTCAGGAAATTTCATATTTTACACCCCGAAACAAGTTTCAATAAATTTTTAAAGACTAAAATTCAACAAATATCATATCTGAACTCAGTGGAATACAACCAGAAATCAAGAACGAAAGGAACAATGGAAAATTCACAAATATGTGAAAACTGAAAAAAAACACTCTTGACCAACCAATAGATCTAGGAAGTAACTATTAAAAATATTTAAAAAATCATGGGAGAAATGAAAATTAAATACAACAAGCCAAAAGGTATGAGATGCAGCAAAAAAAGTAATAAGAAGACAATTTAGAACTATAAGCAATTATATTAAAAGGGAAGAAAAATCTCAAATCAAAAGTCTAATTTTATACCTTAAGAAACTAGGAAAAGAAAAGTTTAAACACAAATCTAGCAGAAGGATGAAAATAACAAAAATAAGACAGGAGACAAACAATACAGATAATTTAAAAATTGAGAAAATTGATAACATCATGAGATGATTCTTGTAAAAAGATAAACAAATTGAGAAGGCTTTAGCTTCATTGACTTAAGCAAAAAAAGATAATACTCAAATACCTAATTCAGGCATAATAGAGAAGACATGACTATTGACTTTATAGAAATAAACAGGATTGCCAGATGTTACTATGTTATAAAAACCTATAGCTATTAAGAAGATTGAAACAGTAATTAAAAACTTTACAACAAAGAAAATCCCCAAACATTTGACTTCACTGGTAAATTCTATAACACATTTGAAGAACTAACACCAGTTCTTCTTAATCTCTTTTAAAAATTTAAGAGTATAGAATATTTTCAAACTCATACTGTGAGGTCAGCATGGCCCTGATAACAAAGACAAAGGCATTATCAAAACACTGTAAACCATTATCTCTGATGGATGTTGATAAAAAAAATCCTCAAAAATTACTCACAATGTAAAAGTGATGGCATATTAAATGGATTATAAACCATGAACAGGTAGTATTAACTGCTAAAATCTAAGGATGCTCTACCATACTAAAATCAATTAATGTAACATGCCACATTAACAGAATAAAGGGGAAAATAATATCAATCATCTTACTTGTTGCAGAACAAAATTTATTTCAACATCACTTGATTCAAAAAGTTAAAGCTAGGAAACAAAGAAAACTATTTCAACATAATAAAATTCATATATAAAAAACACAGTTAACATAATCAATGGTGAAAGACTAAAAGCTTTTCTTCTAAAATCAGGAAAAAGACAAGGATGTCTCCTTTCATAATTTTTATTTTATTTTATTTTATTCAATTTTATTTTTATAGTATGGGAAGTCCTAGTTAAAAGAGTTAAGCAAAAATAAATAAATAAGTAAAGTAGAAGTCTTCCAAATTGGAAAGGAAGCAGTAAAATTGTGTCTGTTTGCAAATGGCATTATCTTAAATGCAGAAAACTTGAAAGATTCCACGAAAAATACCCCTAATAGAACAAATAAATGAATTCAGCAAATTGTAGGACACAAAATGAATATGCAAATATTACTTGTGTTTGTATACATTAACAATGAACAATTCAAAAAGAAATTCATTTACAAGTTCAAAAAATAAAACATTTAGAAATCAACTTAACCAAAGAGGTGAACAATTGTACATTAAAAACTACTGGCTAGGCATGTTGGCTCATGCCTGTACTCTCAGCACTTTGGGAGGCTGAGACAGGAGGATTGCTTGATGACAGGAGGTTGAGACCAGCCTGGGCAATAGTAAGACTCCATCTCTACAAAACAGACAAACAAAAAACTACAAAATTTTGCTGAAAGAAATTAAACAAGACACCAATACATGGAAAGACATACCTTATTTATAGGTTGAAAAACATATTTTCAAAATGAAAATACTATACAAAATTATCTACAAATTAAATACAAACCCTGTCAAAGTCCTAATGATGTTATTTTAGAAGTAGAAAAATCCACTCTACAATTTACATGAAATCTCAAAGGACTGCCTAGCCACAATATTGAAGAAGAAAAAGAAAATAGTTGGAGATCCCAGACTTCCTAATTTCTCCAGATATTTAGGAATTTGAAGGATTCTTATCTTGGTCCTGTGGTTAAAAAAAATAAAAAAGCATTTTCAGGAGAGGAACCAAAGATATGGCCAAAGGACCATTTGTTAAGGATATTAGTGGGGATATAACAAAACTGCACATTATTCATTAGGACAACAGAATAATGAATTTAAAGGCACTTTGGAAATTACTCCTGCCATCCCTCCCACCACAGGCTCAGAAAGCCAAGACCTGGAAAATAAAATTATGTCAAGAGAGGCCTAGGGTGCCCTAAAGATTTTCTGGCTTGCTGCTTAGGGCCACCTCAAGTCTCTGCTTCCCGCATTCTAACAGGGCACTGCTGGTTTGCCAAGGGAGCCAAGGTGGCACTTGGACCACTGCTCCCCAGGGAATGGATACTTAGCTTTGGTATTGTCCATGTGATCCTAGCTCTGCAGTGTCACAGACTGCTCAAGCTATAGAGCCATGGTGGTCTCCACCTAGGTATTAATGAATGTATCAGATAACCTGTGGACCCAAACAGATACCTGCTGCAGGGGTAGTGTCACCAGAGAGTTACCATTAGGGCTATGCCTACAGGAGCTATAGAGTAGGATTACTTCCAAGGCCCCAGAACTGAAAGCAACCAGTGTGCAATGCTGGTCGGGAAGAGCTGTAGGCATGAAACATCAACCTGTAAGAACTGCTGCATGGGCTGAGCTCAGCATAGCTATAAGGGTGAGGGTGCCCAAGATGATGGGGGCTGAACCCTCACCCAAGTGTGCCCAGAAGGCAGGATATGGGGTCAAGAAAGATTATTCTGGAGCCTTAATATTTGATGTTATTTGCACTGTTGGGTTTAAAACTTATTTGTGACCAGTTACCACCTTTTTTTCTTGTTTATTTCTCCCTTTTAGGATGGAAATGTCTATCATATGCCTGTCCCACCATTGCATTTTAGAAGTAGATAACTTGTTTGATTTCACAGGCTTACAAATGAAGGGAAATTTGGCTCAGGATAAACCATGTCTTCAGTCTCACCAATATCTGATTTAGATTCTACTCAAGACTGAACTTTGATCTACTGCTGGAAAGATTTAAGACATTTCTACTGAATAGAATAAATGCATTTTTTTATATGAGAAGGACATGAGTTTTGGAAATCAGGTGTAGAATGCTATGGTTTGAATGGCTGTCCTCTCCAAATCTCATGTTGAAATTCTAATTGCTATTGTAAGAGCATTAAGATATGGAAACCTTAAAAGATGATTAAGCCATGATGATTTCACCCTCATGGGTGAGATTGTTGCTGATATAAGAAGGAGAGTTCAGCCCCCTCTTGTCCTCTTTCTCACCCTCTCACATTCCTTCATGTGATGACACAGCAAGAAGTCCCTCATAAGATCTTGGCACCTTGATATTAGACTTTCGAGCCTTCAGAAATGTGAGCCAATAAATTTCTCTTCATTACAAATTACCCAGTCTCAGATATTCCGTTATCACAGCTCAAAACTGACTGAGACACCAGGATTTATGAGCTCAAGAAACAAGAGGTAGAAATGGGAGTGCCACCACTTCCACTAAAATCTCTATTTCCTCTCTAGAAAAATTTGCGCCTATGTTTCCTGTGACTTTATGCTTTTCTGTCCTAGAGTTTTTAGTTCCAGAGGGAGAAATGCTTCCAGCAGAAGACACAGTGCTTCTATCGAACTGCACATTGACACTATCACCCAGCTCCAAGGGGCTCCTCATATGCTTCTGAAGTAACAGGCAAGCAAGGAAGGTTTGATGTTGACTGGCATAATCAATCTTGACTGACAACAGAAAAGTGGACTATTATTCCACAGTGGAGGTACTGGAGAGTATGTTTGGAATATAGATTTCTTAAATTGTCTCTTGTTATTACCATGACCTGTAATTAAAGTCAGAAAACTGTAACAACCCAGTCCAGGCAGGACTCTGAATCGCCCAAAGATTTCAGGAATGAAGCCTTAGGTAACTCCATCAGAACAATAATCAGCTGAGGTGCTTAGTGAAGGCAAAGTGAATACAGAATGGGTAAAAAAAGAAGGTAATTAGAAATATTAGCTGTGAACATGTAACCAGTTAGAAGAACTATAAACGCCATGGGTATTTACTCCTTATTTTGTTATGAATATATTTGTTTGTGTATATACATATATTAAGCAAATATCATTGTTTTCTTTCCTTTCTTATTCCCTTATGTAACATATGATATATTGACTTTTTATCAGTAATTATTAATTTTGAATCATAGTATTAAGTTATAGGTTATCAGGAAAAGACTAAACATAACTGAAGTGTTTTATATGTTCTTTTGGAGAAAGAATTAGTGTGTTTTCAGTTGTACACAGGATAGCTGTATCATGACAGGTAAAATTTTGACCTTGTTATTGGTTTTATTTGGAGATTAAGTATGCTTTAAGAAGATGCAAGTAGGGGCCATTTTGACAAGGGATGGATTTATGATGGTTAATTTTATGTGTCAACTTGACTGGGCTAAGGCACGTCTAGATAGCTGGTAAAACACTATTTCTGTAAGCGTGTTCCCAGAAGAGATCAGCACTCGTATTGGTGAATCAATTAAAGTAGATGGCCTGGTTCAATGTATGTGGGCATCATCCAAGCAGATGAGGGCCTGAATAGAACAAAACAACAGACGAAATATAAATTCACTCTGCTTGAGCTGAGGCATTCAACTTCTGCCCTCGGACATCAGTTCTCCTGCGTCTCAGGATTTCAGACTCAGACTAGGGTTTATACCATCCATGGGCCGCCTAATTCTCAAGCCTTTAAACCTGGACCGAATAATACCACTGACTTTCCTGGTTCTCCAGTTTGCAGATGGCAGATCATGGGAGTTCTAGCCCCCGCCTAACCATATGGGCCAATTGCTGTAATAAATCTCCTCTTATTTATCTGCATCCATATCTATATCTATATCTTACTGATTCTTTCTGAAGAACCCTGATATAGTTGTATAACTGTAAATTTACCAAAAATCACTAAATTTTACACACTTTAAATGGGCGAATTATATGGTATGTAATTGTAACTTGATAATGTTATTTTTTTAAAGTACCAATAGCCTAATACACATAAAAAAGCTATTTACAGATATAAAAAAGGGAAAACCTCATTTATACTAGTAGCAGCAACAACAAAACATACAAATTAACATAAAAATGTTTAAAGCATTTAAAAAGAAAATCTCAAAACCTTTCTAAAGACACAAAAATAATCAGAAACAGGAGGCAAGAGCAAAATGGTCAGCTAGATGCAGCCAAGTGAAACAGCTCCCACTAGGACTAAGATGACTAACGTGCTTCTAACAGATATTCAGAGAAGGCACTGAGATTGGATGAAGGGAATACACAGAAGTTGGGATGAAGAGGGAGAAACCTGGGACTTTAAACCAAAAAAGAGTAAAAAAGACAAAAAAGGCATTGCATAATGGTAAGGGTTCAATTCAACAAGAAGTTTGAACTATCCTAAATATATATGCACGCAATGCAGATGCAGCCAGATTCATAAAACAAATTCTTAGAGACCTTCAAAGAGAGACTGTTACACAATAATAGTGGGAGACTTTAACACCCCACTGACAATACTAGAACATCAAGACAGAAAATTAACAAAGATGTTCA
Organism: Homo sapiens; assembly: GCF_000001405.40. Lineage (NCBI taxonomy): Eukaryota > Metazoa > Chordata > Mammalia > Primates > Hominidae > Homo > Homo sapiens. Next base: position 3,560,060 of record NC_000024.10, read on the forward strand.
AAACTTGGACTCAGCACTGGATCAAATAGACCTGATAGACATCTACAGAACTATCCACTGAAAAACATTAGAATACACATTCTTCTCATCACCACATAACACATACTCTAAAATCAATCACATAATCAGGATTAAAACACTCCTCAGCAAATGCAAAATAACTGAAATCATAACAAACTTTTGGACCACAGCACAATCAAATTAGAAATCAAGATTAAGAAATTTACTCAAAACCAAACAATTACATGGAAATTGAATGACCTGCTCCTGAAGGACTTTTGGGTGAATAATGAAATAAAGGTTGAAATCAAGTTCTTTGAAACTAATGAAAACAAAGATACAACATACCAGAATCTCTGGGACACAGCTAAGGCAGTGTTAAGAGGAAAATTTATAGCACTAAATGCCCTTACCAAAAAGTTAGAAAAATCTCAATTTACCAACCTAACATCACAACTAAAAGAACTAAAGAACCAAGAGCAAACCATTCTTAAAGCTAGCAGAAGACAAGAAATAACCAAAATCAGAGCTGAACTGATGGAGATTGAGACATGAAAAACCATTTTAAAAAATGAATCCAAGAGGTGATATATATATATATATATATATATATATATATATATATATATATACACACACATACAGTAGACTACTAGCTGGACTAATAAAGAACAAAATATAGATGATTCAAAGAAACAGAAACAACAGGGGGGATATTACCACTGACAACAAAGAAAGGCAAATAAACATCCGAGAACGTTATGAATACCTTTATGCACATAAGCTAGAAAATCTAGAAGAAATGGGTAATTTCCTAGACATACAACCTCCCAAGACAGAACCAGCAAAACATTGAATCCCTGAACAGACCAAAAATGATCTCTGAAATTGAGTCAGTAATAAGTAGGCTATCTGCCAAAAAAGCCTAGGACCAGTTAGATTCATAGCTGAATTATATCAGATGTACAAACAAGAGTTGGTACCATTCCTAGTGAAAATACTCCAAAAAAATTGAAGGGGAGAGACTCCTACCTAACTCATTCTTTGAGGCTATGAGGTCAAGATCACCCTGATATCAAAACCTGGCAGAGAGACAATAAAAAAAGAAAACTTTAGGTTAATATTCCTGAGAAACATTGACACAAAAACACACAACGAAATACTGGCAAACTGAATCCATAAGTGCATCATAAAGTTTAGCAACCACAATAAAGCAGGATTTATCTCTGAGATGCAAGGTTGGTTCAACATGTGCAAATCATTAAGTGTGATTCATACATAAACCTCAGTACAGACTAAAACAACATAATGATCTCAATAGATGCAGAAAATGGTTTCTGTAAAATTCAATATTGCTTCATGTTAAAAACTCAATAACCCGGGTAGTGAAGGAACATACCTCAAAATAATAATAGCCACCTGTGACAACCCCACAGCCAATATCATACTGAATGGGCAAAAGCTGGAATCATTCCTATTGAAAATCTGAACAAGACAAGGATGCCCTCTCTCACCACTCTTATTTAAGATAGTATTGGAAGTCCTGGCCAGGACAATCAGGCAAGAGAAGGAAATACAGTGCATCCAAATAGGAAGAGAGGAAGTCAAACTACCCATTTGCAGACAACATGATCCGATATCTACAAAACCGCAGTCTTAGCCCAAAAGCTTCTTAAGCTGATAAACAACTTCAGCAAATTCTCACGATACAAAATCAGTGTGCAAAAATCAGAAACATTCCTATACACCAACAACAGTCAAGCCAAGAGCCAAATCAGGAACATCTTCCCGTTCACAGTTGCCACACACGATAAATAAAATATCAATGAACATAGCTAACAATGGAGGTGAATGGAGGTGAAGGACTCTACAAGAACAACAAAAGACTGCTCAAAGAAATCAGAGATGACACAAACAAATGGATAAACATTCCATGCTCATGGATAGGAAGAATCAATGTTGTTAAAGTGACTAAACTGCCCAAAGCATTTTCTGGATTTAATGCTACTCCCAATAAACTACCATTGATATTCTTCATAGAAATAGAAAAAACTATTTTAAAATTCATCTGGGACAGAAAAAGAGCCCAAATAGCCAAGGCAAACATAAGCAAAAGAACAAAGCCAGAGGCACCATGATACCGAACTTCAAACTGCAGTACAAGGCTGTAGTTTGGTTACAAGGCTACAGTAACCAAAACAGCATGGAACTAGTACAGAAACAGACACATAGACCAATGGAACAAAATAGAGAACCCAAAAGTAAAGCCACACACCTAAAACCATCTGATCTTTGACAAATCTGACAAAAATAAGCAATGGGGAAATGATTCTCTCCTCAGTAAATGGTGCTGGGATAACTGACTAGTCATATGCAGAAGATAGAAACTGGACCTCTTCCTCACACCATATCCAAAAATTAACTCACGATGGATTAAAGACTTAAATGTATAACCCAAAACTATAAAAAAACTTGGAAGACAACCTAGACCATACTGTTCTGGACATAGAAATGGGCAAGTATTTCGTGATAAAGACACCAAAAGAAATTGCAATGAAAGCAAAAATTGACAAATGAGATTCAATTAAACTAAAGAGCCTTCTGCATGGCAAAAGAAGCTATCAAAAGAGTGAACAGAAAACCCACAGAATGGGAGACAATGTTTGGAAACTATGCATCCAACAAAGGTCTAATATCCAGCATCAATAATGAACTTAAACAAATCAAAAAGTAAAAAAACAACCCCATTAAAAAGTGGGCAAAGGACATGAACAGCCACTTTTCGAAAGAAGACATACATGTGGCCAACAATCATATATAAAAAAGCTCAACATCACTGATCATTATACAAACATAAATCAAAACCACAATGAGATACCATCTTATACCAGTAAGAATGGCTGTTATTAAAAAGTCAAAAATTGAAAGATGTTAGCAAAATTGTGGAGAAAAACGAAGGCTTATACACTGTTGATGGGGCTGTAAATTATGTCAACCATTGTGGGAGAGTGTGACAAGTCCTCAAAAACCTAAAAACACAAACATCATTTGGCCCAGCAATCCCATTACTGGGTATATAGCGAAAATAATATAAATCATGCTATTATAAAGACACATGCATGCATACATTCATTGCAACACTATTCACAATAGCAAATACATAAAATCAACCTCAATGCCCATCAATGGTAGACTATATAAAGAAAATGTGGTACATGTACACCATGAAATACTATGCAGCCATAAAAAGGAATAAAATCTTCTTATTTGCAGGAACATGGGTGAAATTGGAGGCCATTTTCCTTAGAAAACTAACACAGGAACAGAAAACCAAATACCACATGCTCTCACTTACAAGTGAGAGCTAAATAATGGTAACACATGGACACATAGAGGGAAACAGCACATGTTGAGTTCTATCAAAGGGTGGAGGGTGGGAGGAAGGAGAGGATCAGGAAAAATAACTAATGGGTACTAGGCTTAATACCTGGGTAACAAAATAATTTGTACAACAAACCCCCATGTTTTTGTACTACACATAATGGAAAATGAACAGGAAGGTGTATGGCCAGTGTAAAAATTAATAGCTAGAGCTTTGCATGGAGCCTCTAGCCCCACTAGATATTTAAACATAAACAACGTCTCTATAGTAATGCAATAACATACTGGCACACTAATACACAGGCAGAAATGAATTAATAAAGAATTACAAAAGTAGACCCAAGTATATAGTTATATTTATAATATAATGTTGGCATTTTATATCACCAGAGCTAAAAGGGACATATAAATTACATTGAGATAATTGGATAGTCATTTTGAGAAAAAAACAATGTCTATATCTCATACCACACAACAATCAAGTACAAATTATTTGGAGATATAAATTTAGCAGAAAATAACCAAATAAAGAAAGATACCGTGTACAAATTAGAAGAAAGGATGAGTAAAATCTTATAATCTTTGATGTGCAAAAATCTTTCTAACTATAACTCAAAACCTATGTTTTGAGTGATAAACTTTACTATGTATTAATACATTTATTTAAGGCTAAAATCATAGTAAACAAATTTTGAATTTTTCACCAAAAAATAATAACTTAAAAGCAAATCTATATTCCAGGTTAACTATTTTCATATTGGAGAAAATAACAAAATAAAATACAAAATAGGAAAGTATAAAATAAGATAATCCAAAATGTAAAGAAAATACCAAATACATGATATAAAGCTATATAAATGAATTCATAAGGGAAATATCTGTGATAGCTACTTTGAGATACCATTCTATACCTCTCAAAAATTGCCAATATTCAAAACATTGGTAACATGTTTAGTTGGTAAGAATGTCGGGAAAGCAGCACAATCATATAGAGCCATTGGAAACACAATATTATACAATCACTGTAGAAAGAGATTTGATAAATTCTAATAAAACTATACTATAGCATTATATTAATAAACTATACTGTATCTCAATTCTAGGAATTTATCCTTAAGTTCTCTCCATGCATATGCACAACTTTGTTCATTGTATCAACAGTTGTAATTTTTAAATAACAAGAACAATCTATATGGCAAAATATGGAAAATAGTTTGAACGAATTATGTTACATAAACCATACACCCCAGGAAGAACTATAGCAACCTGATAGAGAAAGTGAGGACAATCTCTATAACCAATATGGAGTTATTTCCAAGATTGCAGTTAAATGAAAAAAAGCACAAAGAAATATACAAATTAAGGTTTGTGTGTGTACATATATATATATATCATATATATACATATATGGTATATATATATGGTATATATACCTATATATACACACCTATATATGGGTATATATACCTATATATATATATACCTTATATATATATATATATATACCTATATAATTTAAAAACATTACAAAGTTATATCTGCTTTTTAAAGAAGAAAAACAAAGAATAAGGCAAGAACAAATCAAATTATTTACCTATAGGCTATAAAGGAGCACCGGGTACAATGTGTAGCTTCTGAGTGTAGCTTTATGCATAGTTTTGTGTTTTGAAGCTATGTTAAGGTTTCACATTTTAAAAAATGAAATAAAATAAAGATGGGTGAAAATACTAAATTTTAGGGGAAAAACCCACAAGTGACCCTAGATGTCTTTCTTCAATGACATGATTGTCTATTTAGAAAACTCCAAAGACATGATTTTTAAAAATTGAGGCAGGGAACTTAATACAGGATTATGGCAAGTTTGTAGAATACAAGGTTAGTTAAAAAATCAATAGCATTTTTTATGCCAGAAATCTACAAATGAAATGTGAAATTAAAAACAAAATGCCATTTATGTTATAACCAAAAATATTAAATGAATAAGTATAAATCTAACAAAATATATACAGGATTTATATGAAGAAAACTACAAAACTCTGTTGAAAGAAATTAAATAAGAAATAAAAAGAGTGAGAATCCATGTTCATCAATAGGAAGACTCAATATTGTTAAGATGCCAATTTCTCCAACATAATTCTAATACAATACCAATCACAATCTCAGAAAGCTGTTTTGTTGACATCAACAAATTAATTCTAAAGTTTATATGGAAAGGCAAAAGTGCCAGAATAGACAGCAAAAGAATGAAAAAGAAAAAAAAATCAGAGAACTGATACTACACTACTTTAAGAAATATTATAATGATAAGAAACAAAGACAGTGTGGTATTGATTTAAAAAGTGAACAAATTGATCAATGAAACAGTATAGAAAGCCCAGAAATATACCTGAAAAACTATGGTCAACTGATCTTGGACAGTAAAAAGCAAAGACAATCCAATGGAGAAAGGATAACTTTTTCTACAAATGGTGTTGGAACAAGTAGACATTATATGCCAAAAAAATGTCTAGACACAGTCCTTAGACCTTTCACACATACACATGCACACACACCACTAAATGGATTATAGACCTAAATATGAAATAGAAAACTATAAAATGTTGTTTCAAAAATCATAAGAGAAACTCTAGGTAACCTTGTGTTTTGTGGTTACGATGACTTTTTAGATACAACACCAAAAGTACTATCCATGGAAGAAAAAATTAAGTTGCACATCATTACAACAAAAAACTTCTACTCTGTGAAAGATACTGTTAAAAGAATGAAAAGACAAGTCTATAGACATTTTAAAAATATTTGCAAAGCACTTATGTGATTAAAAATAAAACATATTCGAATTATACAAAGAACTCTTAAAAATCAATAATAAAAAAACAAACAACCCAATTAAAAATAGGCAAAACATTCGAATAGATGCCTCATCAAAAAATATAGAGATGGCAAATAATCATATGAAAAGATGTGCAGTTTCATATGTCATTAGGGAATAATAAAATAAACAATAATGAACTACTCTTAAATACCTATTAAGATAGCTAAAATCCAAAAGACTGACAATACCAAATGCTAGTCAGAATGGGGAGTAACATGAACTTTCATTTTTTGCTGATAGCAATGCATAATGTTGTAGGCACTTTGAAAGACAATTTGCCGGTATGTTACAAAGATAAAAATTGTCTCATTATATGGTCCAGCAATTGCACACCTACGTATTTATCCAATTAAAATTTATGTCAACAGAAAAATCTGCATATAAAATCTTATAGCAGCTTTAAGTGTAATTGCCCTAAAACAGAAGTAACCAAGATAAATGGATGAACAATCATACATTCATACAACAGAATATTATTTAGTGATAAAAAGAAATGAGCAAGCAAGCCATGAAAAGATATAGAAAAACCTTGAATGCATATTGTAGTGGAATATGAATAGGTAAAGCACAGAGGATTTTCAAGGCAGTGAAAGTGTTGTCTATGGCACTGTATTGCTAGATACATGGCATTATTCATTTACAAAACCCAAAACCCAGAGAACTATACAACGCAAAATGTGAGCCTTAACGTAAACTCTGGGCTTTAGTTAATATTAATGCATCAATATTACTTCATAACTTGTTGAAAATGTGCCACATTCATGCAAAGTGTTTATAATAGGGGGAAATGTGGATCTGGGGGTAGGGTATGAAGGAACTCTGAAGTAGCTGCTAATGTTTTTAATTTAAAACTTTTCTAAAAAATAAAGTCTTTAAGAAATACAATATGTTGAGTCTAATAAAATATTTTGAAACCACCTGTCCAGCAAATGCTAGTATTAGGATATACTTTTTTTTTTTAACACTCTAAACTCAACAGAAAAGAGCCAAAGAATCCAATTATAATAGGGCAAAAGGCATAAACAGACAGTTTACTCAAGAGGATATCCACATGGCATATAGTACATCAAATTGTATTCATCATTAGTCATTAGGGAAATGCAAATAACAACCATATTAAAATATCACAGCACACTTATCAGAGTGATTAAAAGTAGTGACAATACCAAATGGTGACAATGTGGAGAAAACAAAATACTAATACATTGCTTCAAGCAATGTAAGATGATAGAACCATTCCGAAAATTTTGGCAACTTTATGGAAAGGCAAACATGTGCCTTCTGTAAAACCGAGGAATTCTATACTTGAATATCTATCCCAGAATTTGTTTGATTTCATAAAAATTCCTTACATAAATGTTCATAACAGCTTTATTCGTAATATAAAAATTGTAAATAACCAAAATGCAATTCATTAGATGAATTGTTGTGCTGCAGTTAGCATACATATACTATGGAATATTTCTCAGCAATAAAAAGGACCTGTCAAGACACTCAACAACTAGTATTACATTAAAGGTAATTATACTGAATGAAAAAAATGCCAATCTAAAACAGTTATATACTCAATTATTCCATCTATAAAATATTACGTAACATTCTTAAAATGACAAAATATTAAAAATGAAAACAGCTTAGCATGTGCCAGAAGTTAGGGAAGGATGAGGTGACTTGCTATAATGGCAGCAGGAGGGATCCTTTTAATGGATCTCTTCCATATTTTGATTATTGTGGTGGTCACAGAAATCTGAACAGGTAATAAAACTGCATAAAATTAGGTAGACATACCACACAAAAATGAGTCAATGTCAATGAATCTTTTTTTTTTTTTTTGAGATGCAGTCTGTCTCCCAGGCTGGAGGGCGGTGGTGTGATCTCGGCTCACAGCAAGCTCCGCCGCCCGGGTTCACGCCATTCTCCTGCCTCAGCCTCCCGAGTAGCTGGGACTACAGGCGCCCGCCACCTCGCCCGGCTAATTTTTTGTATTTTTAGTAGAGACGGGGTTTCACCGTCTTAGCCAGGATGGTCTCGATCTCCTGACCTCGTGATTCGCCCTCCTTGGCCTCCCAAAGTGCTGGGATTACAGGCGTGAGCCACCAAGTCCAGCCCATGTCAATGAATCTTATCAATGTCAATATCCTGGCTGTGTTATTGTTTCCAGTTATGCAAGGCGTAACTACTGGGGAATACTGGGTGAGGGCAGGCAGGATTTCTTTGTATTATTTCTTACAATGGCATATTCATCTACAATTAGCTCAAAATAAAAAGTTAAATAAAATTCACAATAGTCCATGCTATTATAAATCTCACTTTTGTTTCCAAATTGACTCATCTTTGAGTCAAAGTAAAATTCAATAGATAAATGTTGACGCAATATGGCTAAGTTTGTGATTTCTCTCTACCTATATGTTCATGTTTTGTTTATGAAAAGTCATTAATTTTTAAATAATTAGTTATCCTTCAGGTCTCAATAATCCCTATTCCACAATGGTAAAGTTACAACAAATGCACTTACTTAGAGCACAGAATCCTTTCACACCACTACCAAATTTTCTTCATTCCGTTTGCTGGGCCAATGCTACAAGATAAGATAAACCCTGGCCCTATTTTCTCAGACTGCATGATAAGATGAATACTGTAATTTTGAATTGAACATAGAGTCAGTGGTACATTAGGAGCCTAGTAGAGGAATAGTATCAAGAAGTCAAAAATCTTTAATGTGAGACACTGGATAATGACTGGACTGGAGACAAATCATTTCTTTAAAAAAAAACCCAGAATATAGACTATTAAAATAGAACACAAAAAATTTAAAATGTTTTAAGGAGAGATGAAAATAATCAGATGAAATGAGAAGCAAATAAGAGAAAAAAAGAATATATTTGTCACACAGGTGAAACAAAAGGTGAGGGAGGGGATAGAACAGGAATTCAGAACTGTGACTAAAATCTGTCTGCTTATATACCTAATTTTTCATATTTGCTCTGTTTTAATGAGAATTTTCCATAAAATAAAACTAACTTTTCAATATTCTGTTAACCAATTTCCTCTTCTTCTAACTACCACACTTCTTCAAAAGGAGAATACACCCTAGAAATCGTCTGCTGAACTAGAAAACAAGAAGACTGTTCAATAAGCCAGTCTGTCATCTTGCTCACTGAAGGAACAAGTATATGTATATACAATTTTTTGTTAGTAGTTTTTCAGGTTTCACTACCAATTAAAGTACACTAAAGATAGAGAAAATGCAATGAACTAAATAGATTTGAAAATGCATGTTGATTTTGGGAAGTTATATAAAATTAGTTTTAAATTTTCTCAACTTTTCCAATATATGGGGGAAAAAAGTTTTGAAAGCCAACTAATTCCATGAGTTCTATGGAATGGAAACACTGATATAAATTTTGCCTTGAAAGAAATTAGATTTTCTGATTAATTGGTATAAGTTTTAAATAAGATATAGCACCTTACACTTCTGTTACACTTAGTTTAAAAGATATGAGTACAATAATGTTGAGACATTATTCTTGGCACCACAATACAGTAAATAGTTTAAATGCCTAACCAAAATAGCTATTTTAGGAAGCTGGCATAACAACCTGTGAATGTCATGCCTTCCGAAATGGCAAAAGAAGATTTTTTCATTTCCTCTCCACAATCCCAAACAATGAGAAAGCAATGAAAAGTTTAATAGAGTGAGTTACAAAGCACAACTATGCAAAAATAAAAGAGGTATAGCACACTGGGTAAAAGTTATTTGCTGTCCCTAGGTAGTACATTTAATTTACAACTGATGTTCATAAAATAAAATGATATTTTCCTTTTGTCATAAGTATCTACATATGTCTCGCTATGTTTTCAACTTTTTAATGTAACCTTTATAATATGACTATGATACTGGAAATTTAATGTTCATATATTATTAATTATGCTTTTTTACTATATTGACCTCTTTAATATTCTGCATGTTGGTCATTTATTCATCCCCAGATAATTGCTTCACCTGTAGGTAAAAGGTGATATTCAAAGCCAAAGGCAAAATACTATTATTTAAAAGTTCAACTCTTTATTCAGAGTATAATATCAATTATTAAAATATGCATACTGATGTATTTACTATTACAACATATATTTTTGTACTACATTTAAGTTTACTGTTTGTGTCTTGTAATATCTACACTTATTCAAAATCTTCAAATGAAAATAATATGTAGATTTTATTCATACTTGCCAAAAATTATATTAACTCTAGCCTTAGTTCAAACTTATATTAATATATAATTTTAAACTACTGATTAAACTAAAAATTTACAGATATTTTCCTGCTTCTAAAAATATACTAGCAAAGATTGTTATAGTAGAAAAAAACAAAAAGAGCGTTTTCTTAATCTCAGCCATTAAATCAAATAACTACTGAGTCAAAGTGGGGTATATTTGATGGTAATCATGAGGCTTGGGTTTCAGTCCAGGTTTTACACCAAAATATTCTTCATGATTGGAAAAATTAGTTTCCATTACGGAGCCTTTTTTAAAAAATTTCATACGCACACAGATTCTCTCTAAAGTCACATTCAAATCAAAATTCTTTATGATGATATGAAAATAAGCAATGGAGATAAAATATTCTTTTGTTACAAATTTTAGTAAAATTGTGACGTATTATATTTAATAACTACTATTTTCCAAGATAGAACAATCCAAGCTTGATAAAGCATATTGAGTAGATATCTGCATATTTAAAGAATATCCAGAATTCCCTCTTTAAAAGTACCTATCAGAGCAATACTACTTCAGATAACTATAAACTATGGAGAAAATATTTAAAATATTCTTTAAATCTAACATTAGAGCACAACAAAAAGCATGATAAAACCACAAAGGAGTCGACAGCTTAATATAACAGTAAGTTTCTGATATTTTAAAGGCTTCTTATGAAAAAGAAGACAGGCTCCAGTTCATTTCACGTAAGTTACCTCCATTTACATGGAATTCCACAGTCTTGTCTGCACGACTATCCACATATGGTATCCACATGTGGTAGAGTTTAGGCTGCCACAGCAACTGTAAATTGAAGAGGAAATGTTGGAGAAAAATTCCAGAGAAGACGAGTCCCAAAATTTATGTATAAATATTGCCCAAATTTCTAGCTGACCCAAGAAGTATGCAAAGTCAGGTCAGATGCCACACAGACCAGGTAAGGCTAAGACATATATATTTTTAATTTCAGCTGATTCTCCATGCAGGGCAGTCAATATTTAAAAAAAAATATACCCAGCCAAGTTAATTTCGGGCTGAAACTACAACAAATGAAAAAACTCCATTGTTTCAATGAATATAATAGACTCAAGAATCTCTGCAATATTTTATGATGTCTAAGATATAATCCAAAATTATTAGACATATGAAGAAACAGAAAAAATATTTCATGCTCAGGTTAAAAACAAAAAAACAACAAATGGAGATTGACTCAGGCATAATGTTGATGTTTGAAATTAGCAGACAGTTCTTTAAAACAGCTGTAATTACTGTAACTCACAGACTTTTGGGAAAATATGCTTAATGAATAAATTGATAGGCAATTTTAAGGAGGTAGAGACTTTTAAAAGCAGACATGCTCAGATTAAAATTACAATATGTAAACAAACACAGAACCTAGCTATCTAGGTTCCTATATAATGTCAGATTACAAATAAAAGAAGAAACATACATTCACTTAAAGATAGATTGATATAAATTATCCAGTCAGGAAAATAAAGAAAAAATAGATAGATTGATATAAATTATCCAATCAGAAAAATAGAGAAAAAATATTTTAAAAAATGAGTAGATCTACAATAATCTCTGGTAAAGTGTGAAAAAGTCTAAAATATATAAAATGAAGGTATCAGAAAATGAGGAGTGACAGCATGGGACAGAAATACTATCTGAAGAAATAAAGACCAAAATCTTCATTTTAAGAAAATTCATATATGTGTAGAGTTAAGAAATTCAGACAACATGAAGAAGAGACAACAAACAGAAAATAAATCATGTTCAGACATTTGAAAACTGACCTTAAAAGGCCATGAAAAATGTGAATCAGTTATCACTATAATTCAGAAATAATGAAAATGGAAAGGCAGTGGAGGGAGATTTTTAATGGGCTCAACAATAAATAAAACCATTAACTGAAAATCTGATTCTATATCTAGCAAAAATATCTTTTAATAATGGAAGTGAAGTGAAGACATACTCAGAAAATAAAAACTAAATACTAAGAAAATCTGTCATCTCTATAAATACCTGAGAATAACTGCTACAGAAAGTTTTTCTGGCTGAAGAGTAATTATTCCAGATGTAAATCAGACTTTTAGTTATGAACAGAAAACACAGAAAATTCTGAAGATGTCAGGAAACTAACAGACTATATTTCCTCTTAATTACTTAAATAGACACGTAACTGATTTAAACAAAAGTTATAACATTTTAATATAGTTTTGAACATATTTCAATATAATACACATGAAAACTATAAAATAGAAGATAGAGGTATAGAGAATGAACATATCCAAGCACAATGTTCTTATATTTTTTGCAAAGTGGTAGAATATGAAATCTATGGAGACTGTAAAAACTTAAAAATATATATTGCTATCACTAGAGATACCTCTAAAATGTAATTGTAATAGGTATTTCAGAAAGCTAATAGATGTTAATATTAAATGCTAACAAATATTTAATGAACTAAAAAGAAGACAATAAGGGAAAACAGAGAAACAAAAATATGTTGTAAAAAGATAAATATTAAAGTGGTAGACCAAATATAACTATTATTATTATATTAAATATAAGAAGATTAATAGCTCCAATTAAATAGAAGCAATTTCCAGATTGTACAAAAGGGCAAGACCAATACAAGGAATTGTACAAGAGATGTATATTATAAAGATACAGATTAGTTTAAGGTAAATACACAGTAGTTACACCTTTTACAAAAATTAACCTAAAATGGATCATAGAACTAAATGTAAAGTGCAAAATTATGAAACACTTAGAAAATAACAGAGAAAATTTAGATGGCCTCAGTTTTGGTGATGTCATTTTAAGTTCAACATCATATGTACAATCTACAAAAAAAAGAATTTATAAGTTGAATTTAATTAAAATTAAAACATTTTGTTCTGTGAAAAACACTGTTAAGAAAATTAAGAAACAAGGCACATACCAGCAGAAAATATTAAAAAACATATACTTAGTAATGAACTGGTATTCAAAATATGCAGAAAAACTCTTGAAATTCAACCAAGGAAACCAATCTGATTAAAAATCGTCAAAAGATCTAAACAGACACCTCACCAAAGAAGATATACTGATTTTATATATAAGTATAAAAACAAGATGCCTAAGTCACTAGGGAATTGCAATATAAATCAATGAGATACTACTACACATCTAGTAGAATGACTAAAATCAACAATATGGACATCAAAAGCTGGTGAGAATGTGAAACAACAGGAATTCTCATTCATTGTTGGTGAGAATGAAAAATAGTACAGCCATTTTAGAAGACAGTTTGGCAGTCTCTTATAGAACTAAACATGTTCTTACCACCATATAATCCAGCAATTGCAATCTCTGAAATTTCTCCAAATGAGTTGAAAATGTATGCCCACACAATAACCTGCACATGGATGTTTGTTCATAAGTCCCTAAACTTGAAAGCAATCAAGATGTCCTTCAGTAGGTGGATAGATAAACTGTGATATAGCCATATAATGGAATATTATTCAGGGCTAAAAAGAAATGAGCTATCAAGCCACAAAAACATATGGGAAATCACTTGTGATTTTGATAGGAATATGTAATTAAAGTAAATTTAAAGAGAATTAAATTTATTAAAATAGTGAAATTTCCTAGGGTAAAATAGAATGTATTTTAACTTTTAACATCCATTTTATGTTATTAAATAAAATTTTCTACTTTTATTTGCATAGGGTGTAGACAATAATTTCTAATTTTAGGCCTATATCTTTTTGTATCTTTATTCTTGATACGATTATGAACTAGGTAATTTTCCCAATATATTTTCTAAATTACGATTATTGATACATGTTAATGTTTATCTTTTATTTGTTTGTAACTGACCACCTTACATAATTCTTATTATTTATAATGGTTTCTCAATTGATTTTTAGGTATTTCCTAAGTGGCAAATCATGCTATCAACAAATAATAATATTTTTCCTCCTTTTAGTATATTTATTGTATTTATTTTTGTTTGATTAATTCTATTGGATCAAATTTTTAAGCAATTTTATAGTAGTGAAAATAAACATCTTTGCCTTACTTATGAAATTGAAAGAATCATTTTTGTTTTATTGTTAACCATAAGGCTGTATATTGGAGATTTTAACTTTTTATTAATCTATGTTATACAAAGGAAGGATCCTTTTATCCTTATTTCATTAAAATATGTTTATCATAAATTCATTTATTTGTTTGTTTGTTTGTTTTTCAGATGGAGTCTCGCTCTCTCACCCTGGCTGGATGTAGTGCAGTGGCACCAACTTGGCTCACTGCAACCTCCACCTCCTGGGCTTCAAGCAATTCTCCCTGCCTCAGACTCCCAAGTAGGGATTACAGGTGCACGTCACCACGCCTCACTAATTTTGTATTCTTTAGTAGAGATGCGGTTTTGTCATGTTGGCCAGGCTAGTCTCAAACTCCTGACCTCAGGTGATCCACCTGTCTCGGCCTCCCAAAGTGCTGGGATTATAGGCATGAGACACCGTGACCGGCCCAGAAATTTATTTTAAATTCATTAAAATAGTTACTCAAACTCCAACAAGATGACATTTTTTCTTTTATCCATGAATGTGATTAATTCTCAAAATATATATTCTAATGTTAGATCATGCTGCATTTTACATGTTTCCATTTTTTCATGTGTTTTATATTTTACATGAATGTACATTCTATCCAGTAATAATTTATGATGTTATAAGTGAATCTGCCACAGATATTTCTGTCATGCTTTGTGAGATTTTCACATCCGAGTCATACCAGATTTATAAAGATCTGGAAAGCATTTTCTTTACATCTTTTACAAAGAGAATCATTTGCTCCTTAAGTTGAGGAAAATGAATAGAATAAGCTGTAAGATCCATAAGTCTTATTGGGGGATAATTCTATGGTATCTCTTACAGTCAGGCCATACTTCCAACTTTCATCCCTCCAAATTAAGGTATATTAGTTGAATCTGCTAGAACTTCCTACACTTCTTACTCTTAACATGCCACCATTTCTGTCAACAGGGGTTTAGTGCTGGTTTCCTGACATTTTCTTCAATTCATTTCGAAGTGTAAAATACCTGGCAGGAATTATCCAGATACTTTACGATATGAAAAAGCAGTATGTCCTTGACAACATTCTTTATTATTATTATTATTATTATTATTATTATTATTATTTGAGACGGAGTCTTGCTCTGTCACCCAGGCTGGAGTGCAGTGGCGTGATCTCAGCTCAGTGCAAGCTCTGCCTCCCGGGACATTCTTTATTTTTAGAGTTGGTGAAATTCAGTTACCACATCACCAATTTTTGCTTAGTTCACTGTGCTTTGATTTTTGTTTTTGTTTTTTTGTTTGTTTGCTTGTTTGTTTTTTTGAAATGGAGTCTTGCACTGTCGCCCAGGCTGGGTGCAATGGCACAATCTTGGCTCACTGCAACCTCTGCTTCCTGGGTTCAAGTGATTCTCCTGCCTCGGCCTCCCGAGGAGCTGAGATTACAGGCACCCGCCATCAACCCCGGCGAATTTTTTGTATTTTTAGCAGAGACAGGGGTTTCACTATGCTGGCCAGGCTGGTCTCGAACTCCTTACCTCGTGATCCACCCGCCTCGGCCTCCGAAAGTGTTGGGATTACAGGCGTAAGCCACCACGCCTGGCCTTGTTTTTGTTTTTTAATTTGGTTTTATAGTCTCCCATTTCTTCGATGCCAAAAATTAAGCTTTCTCTAAAACTCTACAAGTAGATCAACATAATTTGGTTTGTAGAATACTTATATGAAAATTATATTACTGGAAACAATACGCAATAAAATATTAAGGACCTCAGTCTCATTATGGTCTTTTATAATTTGAGAAATAAAGTGTCTATTATAGTGTAATGCCATTGGCATCCCTAATACAGTCATGAGAAGGCACTTTTCAGAGTCACAAGTAAATAAATCAATGCTTATAAATAGACAAACTGTTTACAATGAGATCTGTGTACTTCACATAAAAAGAAACAATAAAGGAAGATAAAAACTGATAGACACTATTTAGATCATTTTATCTTCTTACAAGTTTTAAAGAAGTAGGTGGAAGCAATCTATCTTTCTCTCAGAGATACCCATAATTCATAATTTTGTATCACCAAAAACTGGAAGAAAGGTAATACAGTTTCTATTCAGCATTTCAATTATTTCATCATAAAAGGAAGTCACATTTTTTGTGTCAAAAGCGATGGGATTCATTTCCAATTTCTCACCTACTTTCCAGATTTCTCCATGTTCCTGTATCTGTTGATAGAGGAAAAGACAGTCTCCAAATCTCCTGGGAATAATTTTGAGCCATCATAATATTCTTTTTAGAGGGGATGCATAAAGTAGACATTAAAAATCAAGAACCCAGATCATATCAGTGAGAAGAAATCTGCAATTCGTTAAATATGTGCAATTCTACGTCAATCCTTGAGCAGAGGCCTGAATCCCCATACATAGAAAGAACATATAGGAGTAATAAGTGAGGGAGGGTAAGTTACTACAAGTCATGCTGACGCACAAAAATACTTTCAGCGAGCATGAGGCATAAATGTGTTGGTGAGAAACAGTTGCAGGAACTGAGTTTTTACTATGCATAGAAAATCTTATCTTCTGTGTTTCAAAAGCCCAAAAGTCCAGTGGAAATAGAAGCATTCTTTTCTAGAGTATTCCAAAGGAGACCTTCAATTGTACCCAACATACCCAATTATTGGTTATTGGGAGCTTTACTAAGTTGTTCATTAGATTTGATTGTGTTATTCAGTAGGTCTCCCTTACAATAAATTTTAAGTGATGAAAGTCAGTACCAGTAAGGAAGATTACCAACAGCCAAAGGATCAGTAGACAACATTCTGAAATCCAGCCCAGTGACAAGTAAGAACTCTTAAGGGCAAAAGGAAGCTGTGGATAATATATGCTGCTTCAGACGATAGCTAGGACTCTGCAAAATATATGAAATTAAAAATAAATAATACCATACAGTATTATTAAGGAGTCAGAGTTGATGCTGGTGGTAATTGTCTTCAAAGTGAATCACAGTGTTCTTGAAAAAAGTCAAGCCTTATTTTTCAGCTACTAGAAATGAAAATTTGAAATTTACAAATTATTTTCATTTGACTTATCGGGTGATTTCCACATGCTGGAAATATCAAGAAATATTTGGCCGGCTGCGGTAGCTCACACCTGTAATCCCAGCACTTTGGGAGGCTGAGGTGGGTGGATCACTGGAGGTCAGGAGTCCGAGACCTGGCAAACATGGTGAAACCCTGTCTCTACTAAAAATACAAAAATTAGCCGGGTGTGGGGGTGCACGTCTGTAATCCCAGCTACTTGGGAGGCTGAGGCAGGAGAATCACTTGAACCTGGGAGGTTGAGGTTGCAGTGAGCCGAGATTGCGCCACTACTGCACTCCAGCCTGGGTGACAGAGCGAAACTTCATCTCAAAAAATAAAAAATTTAAAAAATTAAAAAATATATTTAAATAAACTGTCTGTGATGGCCATTATTTCTTGAATTCTATCTTATTCCACTTATTCCACATTACTAAAAGATCCCTGAATTTCTGACTGAAGTTTAAAGAGAAACATCACAACTAGATATCAGAGTCCAAGGAAGAGACACAAAGACCTCAGTGGTACTGACAGGCAATAGCAAAGTCATTCGAAAGACAAAGATTTTGGCTGGTCGTGGTGGCTCACGCCTGTAATCCCAGCACTTTGGGAGGCCGAGGCCAAGGAGGGCAGATAATGAGGTCAGGAGATCGAGACCATCCTGGCTAATATGGTGAAACCCGCCTGTACAAAAAATATAAAAAATTAGCCGGGCGTGGTGGCAGATGCCTGTAATCTCAGCTACTCGGGAGGCTGAGGCAGGGGAATTGCTTGAACCTGGGAGATGGAGGTTGCAGTGAGCCGAGATGCCGCCATTGTGCCACTGCACTCCAGCCTGGGCGACAGAGCGAGACTCCATATCAAAAAAAAAAAAAAAAAAAAAAAAAGACAAAGACAAAGATTTTAAGGCCATAGAGAAGAAAAATTTAAGCAGCAAGGCATCAAAAGCAAAAGTCTAGTTCAAAATTATTATTAATATCTGCTTTGAACATGGAAGAATGGAAGAGGGGAGTCAACGTACAGTAGTTACACTCTTTTATTGAGTTTAGTAGCTAATCAACAATTTGTTCCTGATATATCTAGATGAGCCAGTGAGACAATTATAAGTAATAACGGGAAGAACAATACCAGAGTAAAATCAAATAGGAAGAAAGTGATAGGCGTATTTACACTAATAGAAATAGAGTCCGTCAGTTAGTGGAAACTGGTGACAACAGCAGAGAAAACTCTGGAGAGCTATAAACTGCGTGAAATGAAGTGCATTGGAAGTTACAGAAAATACGCAAGAACAATGGGAGAAGAACTCCAGGAAGTGTAGGGGAGGGGCAGCGTGGAGAAGAAAGGATGTGACGTCACTGAGATAACCAGCTCGGCTGTTAGCAACTCTGTTAGCAAAGCTGTTTGTCTTTCTCGGAAACAACAGGTGAGAATTCCCCTTACAGACCTGCCCATGCTTTCTAAAGTGGCTCTCCCAAACCTACCTTTGTCCTAACTCAGTTGTCTGTGATTCTCAATATAGTAACGATAAGCCTCTTTGAATATGGAGGCCGCTGCAGACGGCCCGGCTGAGACCCAAAGCCCGGTGGAAAAAGACAGCCCGGCGAAGACCCAAAGCCCAGCCCAAGACACCTCAATCATGTCGAGAAATAACGCAGATACAGGCAGAGTTCTTGCCTTACCAGAGCACAAGAAGAAGCGCAAGGGAAACTTGCCAGCCGAGTCCGTTAAGATCCTCCGCGACTGGATGTATAAGCATCGGTTTAAGGCCTACCCTTCAGAAGAAGAGAAGCAAATGCTGTCAGAGAAGACCAATTTGTCTTTGTTGCGGATTTCTAACTGGTTTATCAATGCTCGCAGACGCATTCTCCCGGATATGCTTCAACAGCGTAGAAACGACCCCATCATTGGCCACAAAACGGGCAAAGATGCCCATGCCACCCACCTGCAGAGCACCGAGGCGTCTGTGCCGGCCAAGTCAGGGCCAGTGGTCCAGACAATGTACAAAGCCTGCCCCTGTGGCCCTTGCCAAAGGGCCAGATGTCAAGAGAGAAGCAACCAGATCCGGAGTCGGCCCCTAGCCAGAAGCTCACCGGAATAGCCCAGCCAAAGAAAAAGGTCAAGATTTCTATCACTTCCCCGTCTTCTCCAGAACTTGTGTCTCCAGAGGAGTACGCCGACTTCAGCAGCTTCCTGCTGCTAGTCGATGCAGCAGTACAAACGGCTGCCGAGCTGGAGCTAGAGAAGAAGCAAGAGCCTAATCCATGATTGATGATGTTCCAAAAACCCAAGTAGTCAGTCCCTTGTGTACTGTGGTAAACCTGTTTATGTTCACCCCAACTTATTTGTATGCTTATCTTTTATAGAGGCATCTTTCTTTCTACTGGTTTTATGAGTACCAATCTTAATTATTGGGACTAAATTCTGTCAGATATTTCAGTGTTTCCAGGTGAAAGACACTAAGGTGCCATCATAATGAACACTGCAGCAAAGATTTCTTAACTCTCCTTCCTCCTGGATTTGAACTCTTTAGACCATCAGACTAGTACATCTGAGATTAAACATCAAGCTGAGATTTCAGAGATAAATGTTTTTGGCTTTCTAGCCAACTTTCTTAATCCCAGGGTTGCTACATATAATAAGTCACCCCTCTTTCTCCCTCTCTCTCGGTAATCTCTGTTCATTAGTATGAGTGATAGAAAAGAAAGCCTCTATAAAAATGGCTATAACATCCCTCATTTTATTGTTGGAGTTTTGTGAAGCTTTCAATTCTTATATTCCTTTTTGTACAGTTTTGGCCAATTTTGAAGAAGTAGTTATTCTTTGCAGGGAGTTGACCATGAGAGCCAAAGTACAGTAAATTCATGAACATTTTTTTGCATAAAGGTGAACTCTTCTTGCTTTGAGCAGTGAAAAGTCTGCATAAAGGTATGAAAATTCCAAATGTTAATTTTCTCTTATTGGCTGTTGGTTAGATAGTTGGTTTTAGAGAATACTTTTTATTGATTTTAATTATAAAAGTAAAAACATAACAAAAAATAGAAAAAAACTGACAAAAAAATTCCCTGGAAGAAACCAAAGGAAGATAATTTAGAAAGAAACAAAATGAATCAATATATAACATGTCAGCAAAAAGTGAAGTAGATCCAGGTATTCTATTATTTTATCTTTTTAATACATTTATGTATTTTTCCTTTTAAAATTCTTGGTTTGGTAGGGAGTGGGGTAGGAATGTAAAAAGCTTCAGACCGGTCCCGCATGAAAATAATCCTATTGTCTTATAAAGGCAGCTTTTTCACAAGTACAGGCAGATTTTCACTAGGATACGAACAGAAAGATACTACCCCAGAGAGCTGTAATTTTACTTCTCTGCTTTTAGGGAGCTAAAACCTGAGGAATCTAGGGCTATAAATTGGACTCTAGCCTGATTCTGATTCTGCTCTAATGTGAAATAGATCATGATTTGTCTGCTTCTAGGGCCATTTTTTATATTGTTATCTAATTATTGGCAATTTTAAATATAAGATGCCGTATCTTATTTAGGCATCTTAACAAACAATAGTCATGAGTTTTTACTTTGCATATTATAAGTTTCCATGTTACCAGAAAGGAAACAGGCCCACATTCCCAAACTGTTGTTTCTGAAATAAACTAAAATAGGAAGGAGTTGAGGTTCCTAAGGCATACATGAATCCAGGGGCATTTAGAAGGAAGTGGTATAAAAACATTCATCGTAACCTTACTGAGGAGGGCCCGTAAACACTCAAGGAAACGCCCAAACCATTTTGTTTATAGTGCCTGGCAAAAAGCATTTTCTGCATATGGATACATAGAAGGCTCTTATTCAAGGAAAGGACGTTTGCTATCTGGGTGGCAAGATTTCTAGACTCAGCCTAGAGTATTTCTATACACTCATTTCTGGACCCTTACTACTTTGTCCTGTAGCTTTCTAACTGGTCTTAGGTCTCAGGCTTTTCTCTTTCTCAGTTGAAAATGAAGTTAATTGCAACTTTAGTGCTGAAGTCTGAAAAAGGAAGTTTCTTATTGTCTGGCCTCTTATAGACAATATAAGAGGCTTGTTTCCTCTTGTTTCTAGAGGCTGAGGCCACTTGGACTGTTCCTGTAGAATGACTATTGTAGTACTTGTTTATTAATAACTTTATTATTATTGTAAAATGACTGTGGAATCATTGTAAAATCAGTGCTGCTGTAGAACTTACTCAAAGGTGAATATGTTGGGATTACAGTGGTATTTGTCCATTTCTGTTGTGCACTTTGTAATGGTGAATTGTGGTCTACAATTGTGTTCTAGCTTTAACTCTATTATATCGAAAGAAATTGGGGAGAACTGTTCTCGGTTTTGTGCTACAAACATGGAGAAGAAGCAGTTGCTATATACAACAGAATTTTTATTGTTGAAATTTTTGCCAAATAAATGTACTTTTTTTCATATAAAAGGACCAACTGTGTTTGTGATTCCACCAGGCTTTAACCACTTTGAAGTTGTAGCTTCTTTATGCATGTTTTTTTCTATAAGAGTGAAATTTAGGAAGCTATAATCTACTTCACTTTGTGGAGAGAAAAGGCGATAATTTTCTAAAGAAACTAAGTTTGGAAAACATAACCACCAATTCCATGTTATTTGAGTTTGAGAACTATGTAAAACCTGATAAAGAGTTTCTGAAACAATGGTCTTGTGGAAGTGAAAGGGTGAAGATAGCATTGAGAATATCTTGGTTAGGATTTTTTCTTTTTCCTTTTTTTTTTTTCTTCCAAAGTATTGGGAGTCATTTATATTTCCAGAAGTGTACAAGAATTTCTATTCCTCTACACTTTTACCAATACATAATATCAATTTTCAATTTTTCTCAAGCCAATAGCTATAAAACAGCCTAGCATTATTCATTTGCCTTTGTCTGATTAATAGCAAAATTGAACACCTTTACATATTTTTCTTTTGCCACTCATTTTTTCCTCTTCTGTTGAAATCAATTGCTTAATTTTTCCTTTCTGCTTTGCCTTACTTATCCAGTGGCAGTTCTTCATAAATTGTATTACAATTATTTTGCTATATGAATTGCTAAATTCTTCCAATTTGTGCATCTCTTTTTAGTTTATTGATGGTGTCTTTTGTCATACAAAATTTCAAATGTTATTATATGCAAATTTGTTAGTTTTCCTTTATGAGTTGTGCTCTTTGTGCCTTATTTAAGAAATCTGTCATTGCCTAGGTATAATGAAGATATTTTCCTGTGTTTTCTTCTGTAAGTTTCTTTTTAAATTTTGCTTTAAGTTCTTGGACACATGTGCAGAATATGCACGTTTGTTATATAGGTATACATTGCAGAATGTGCAGGTTTGTTACATAGGTATACATGTGCCATGGTGGTTTGCTGCACCTATCAACCCATCATCTAGGTTTTAAGCCCCACGTGCATTAGATATTTGTCTTGTCCCCGACCCCCTGACAGTCCCCAGTGTGTGATGTTCCCCTGCGTGTGTCCCTGTGTTGTCATTGTTCAACTCCCACTTATGAGTGAAAACATGCGGTGTTTGGTTTTTTTCTTAAGAAAGATACATTTTTATTAATCTATTTGGAATGACGGAAATATACAGTCAAAAGATGTAGGATTGTGTCCGGAATTGGTGGGTTCTTGGTCTCACTGACTTCAAGAATGAAGCCGTGGACCCTCGTGGTGAGTGTTACAGCTCTTAAGGTGGCGCGTCTGGAGTTTGTTCCTCCTGTTGTTCGGATGTGTTCGGAATTTCTTCCTTCTGGTGCGTTCATGGTCTCGCCGCCTCAGGAGTGAAACTGCAGACCTTTGCCGTGTTATGGCTCATAAAGGCAGTGTGGACCCAAAGAGTGAGCAGCAGCAGAATTTATTGCAAAGAGCGAAAGAACAAAGCTTCCACAGCGTGGAAGGGGACCCGAGCAGGTTGCCACTGCTGGCTCGGGCAGCCTGCTTTTATTCTCTTATCTGGTCCCACCCACATCCTGCTGATTGGTAGAGCTGAGTGGTCTGTTTTGACAGGGCGCTGATTGGTGCGTTTACAATCCCAGAGCTAGACGCAAAGGTTCTCCACATCCCCACCAGATTAGCTAGATACCGAGTGTCCACACAAAGGTGCTCCAAGTCCCCACCAGAGTAGCTAGATACAGTGTTGATTGGTGCATTCACAAACCCTGAGCTAGACACAGGGTGCTGATTGGTGCACTCACAAACCCTGAACTAGACACAGGGTGCTGATTGGTGTATTTACAATCCCTGAGCTAGACATAAAGGTTCTCCACCTCACCACCAGACTCAGGAGCCCAGCTGGCTTCACCCAGTGGATCCCACACCAGGGCTGCAGGTGGAGCTGCCTGCCAGTCCCGTGCCATGTGCCTGCACTCCTCAGCCCTTGGGTGGTCGATGGGACTAGGCACCGTGGAGCAGGGGGCGGCGCTCACCGGGGAGGCTTGGGCGGCACAGGAGCCCACGGGGCGGGTGGGGGCGGGGAGCCTCAGGCATGGCAGGCTACGTGTCCTGAGCCCTGCCCCGCCGGGAGGCAGCTAAGGCCTGGTGAGAAATTGAGCACAGGCCCGGTGGGCCGGCACTGCTGGGGGACCCAGTACACCCTCCGCAGCTGCTGGCCTGGGTGCTAAACCCCTCATTGCCTGGGGCGGGCAGGGCCGGCCGGCTGCTCCGAGTGCGGGGCCTGCCAAGCCCACGCCCACGCCCACCCGGAACTCCAGCTGGCCCGCAAGCTCGGTGCACAGCCCCGGTTCCCGCTCGCACCTCTCCCTCCACATCTCCCTGCAAGCTGAGGGAGCCGGCTCCGGCCTTGGCCAGCCCAGAAAGGGTCTCCCACAGTGCAGTGGCAGGCTGAAGGGCTCCTCAAGTGCTGCCAAAGTGGGAGCCCAGGCAGAGGAGGCCCTGAGAGCGAGCGAGGGCCGTGAAGACTGCCAGCACGCTGTCACCTCTCAGGATGAATAGGAAGTCCATAGGGTGGCTCTAATAAGGAATAAGACATAACTGGTTATGAATAAAGTTGTTCTTTTCAGTGATCCCTCCACCCAGCCCCTCACTCTGTCTCTCTTGATTGATGTGAAAGTGAGATTCATCAGTGTGTACTTCAAGAATTTCGTATTAAAGATATTCTTAGAATGGGATTTCATTTCAATGTTTCTTAATCCTCTGGCATAAGAGCACATTTATAAACAATGTAGTCATAAGGGATATCTTCACTCGTGTTCTTTCATATATCTCAAACTATACTAGATATATAATACCAGGGATTTTACTTTAGCTTATTTATTAGAACAAGAATGCCTTTTACATGTATTATAACATGCTTTAATGTATACAGTGTATCTCAATGAAGGGAAAACATTGGAGTGGAATTTTCCTGGATATTTTATTAAATGAACACTAAGGCAAATAATATATTTTATCTATAGTCTCCTCAGCTAGCAGGGGCATACTTTGTGTGCCATGATTTAGTCACTTCAGTAAGTTTACATTCGGTCACTGAAAACATTAGTTTTCGATTTTCAAATAATCTCAACTCTTACATTTGACCAAATTTAGTTCTATTTCTATTTCACCTAATATATTTCAAGGACCTAGGCACTTGTATTATAATTATTTTTTTTAAGAAATGGCACTTTGTGTATATGTGTTTACTGTTAAAAATCTGCCATTTACCTTTTGGCTTTTTTAGTTCATCGTGGTAAAATGAGGACAGTAAGAGTAAGATAATGTGGATTTACTAGAAAGATGTCATATCTTTTGCAACAGGTAGAAGATAACTGAAAGTAGATCAAAGAATGTGGTTTGTCACATGAGAACGCATACAATTATAATTGATTATTTAAGGAGTTATGGATGGTTACTTTGTGTTTTTAGAACCTCATGATATAGAATAGACTGAAACGTAATTCAAAAGGACTTCAAAAAATTATAGATAACTAAGCCAAGATCAATTTTAAAGGAAAAGTAAAATTCACTGGCCGAAACCATTAAGGAAGAAATCTATGAGGTCAAACAGGGTCTTTCCTGATATAGTTGTGCTGTCATTTGTACAGGCCGAATAACAGGTTGGATAGTCCAAAAGTCTAATCTGGAATGGTACTTAATGCTTTCTATAAGATGCAAATTGGAAATGTGATAAATATGACTTAGAACATAGCTGTATTTAAACCTATTTTGAGCTCATTTTCACTTTCAATAATGTTTTAACCTTATTTTAGCAATGTTCTTTACTTCAATGATACTAGCAGTATTTGGACTTTTAAGTTTGCATTTCTTTATATAAAACAGACAATAACAATGGGTGACCAGCATTTTTCTACTAGATATTCTATATATTGCAACCTGTAATTCCTTGTTATACCAATGTATAGTAAATGATTGCTTTTTATAGGATAATTATTCATGTTATAGAGCAGGGAGTTCTCAAATATTAAAATCCTGAACAGAGATTAATTTCTTGGCTTATTATATAATATAATGAAAAATGTTATAATTTATAATTTATTTTTACTTTTACTATCTTTTCAGAAATGCTATTTTTTTCCTTATTATCCTAAAGACAGCCTAAAGTATCTTAAAGTTCTTTCTTTAGCTTTTGAGGATATAATTTAGAAAAAGTTTAATAAGAAAGTATTGAAATCAATGATAATTTTGTAAAAGGTATAAAAAGGGGCTCTTTTTGCATGCTACTGTAAATTTAATATAAAGCACTTATATGAACATTAATTTTTACCTCTACATCATAATATAAACTTTTACTGTTTTACTCTTAATTAAAGATATCCTCAGTTTTCTGTTTTTTCCCCAGATAATCATTAAGTTTTATACAATACGCTTATGAAAACTTTAAAGAATTAAGAATCTAAAATTATAGTAACAAGCAAAATGTTGTATTGAATTAGAATAACATGCACGACTATGAAGTAATTAAACTTTTAATAGAAATATGTGAGGTAATGTTAGAAATTATTTTACATCCTCCTTTTTGCCAACCATGTTAAGTAGTCTACTAAACAAAAGAGCAGTAATGGGTTTGAATCGTAACAGGAGTGTGTGTGCATGCATACCTGTGTATGTGCTTGTGTGTGTGTATTAGAGACAGAAAATCCAATAATCCAACAAGAAAAGCTTTACTTCCAAGTCAATGTAGTGTGTTAGCAGAATCTTCACTATGAAAGGAGAATCACAGTTGATAAGGTGACCATGATGTTTTTACACACTATGGGTATTTCATAAAGATCTCAGAGAATAATTTGATCTTTAATAAACAAAATAATAATTCAAGAGACTCTAAAAGCAGCTGTTATGAACGTGCATGAATATTACAATATAATACCAAAGTTATTTTTCCCGAATAAGTATTTTATGATTTTGAAAGTACCTGAAAAAATCAGGATTTTATTTGGTCAGGTGACCAACTTCCAGGATAAAAGAAACTAAGGAAGTTAACTTAAGGTGTTAATTATAACATAGGATAATTATGAAGACATTCAGTAAACCACTATATAAGATAATTATGGAAAATTGTATAGCTTTCCAAGAAAATTCCTATAAATTTTAATTGTTTATAAATAAATGCCTATGATAAGTCTTGCCTATACTTCTGACTTAATTATAATAATCTCTAGAGTGAGATATGATTCATCTTTCCCTGACATTCCAACATTTTTGTAAGTGGAATTCATGATTGTGCAGCTAATAAAATAGACAGTTTATAAAACTTAGCTGCTTTCAATTAACAAAGCTAAGACTCTTCCCCCCACTGTCCATCAAAGATAATACTATTTCACTTTTTTCTTAGTTATTTGAGATGGCAATCAAAAATGATATTTTTGGCATGAAATGAACATATCATGATCCTTCAGTTATAATAACAGATTCGTTGTTAGAGTTAGCTTTTGTGAAATCTACCCTGTGTGTTTGAATGTGGAACATCTGCAACATTGAATATATCACCTCTCACAGCAGTTCCTCAGACAGGAAATTATATCCCTCAGTGGGATGGTACAAAGGTAATTCTGTTGCCGTATATTGTGCCAAAGAGCTCCTTCTGTGACAGGTTAGATTATCAGTGATATGTGTCTGTCATGCCCATTTTCTTCTTTGTCTGAAGGAATCTCATACCGACAAAGTTTGTGGTATTCCAAGATAAAGCTTTGCCAAAGCTAGAAATTCCAACATACATAAATACTATTTCAAGTTAGAGGAGGGTCCCATTGCAATCCTTAGAAAAACCCAGATTTTACACGTGTACCCTAATCATTATAGCCAGCTTATGCTGGGATTTAGAATGAAACATATTTTTAAGCCTAAATTCTCAAAAGAAAGAAACATTTTTAAAGTATGTTAGGCAACAGATGTATTGGGAATTTATTCTTTTTTACTTGCATTTTAAAACTCTCTATATATTTTAAATTATACTTATTTTGCTGTGAACTAATTGTTGGAGAACAGTAATAACCAAATAACGATTTCATTGACATCAACCACTGGAGATGTGCTTATAAATAATAATGCCACCGAAGCATACGACAGAAGCCCTTTTCATGCCTTATTGCTTTAGTAGGTTAAATAAACGAATGTAATAATAGAAACTTCCATATATTCTGGAGGAAGCCAACATATCAAACATTTATCATAGGAATGAGAAGTAGTGAGAAAGGGCATCTCTAAATGCATCCAAATGAATAAAAAACATTTTTGAATGGCAATTTCAGTTCACAAAAATTAGTTTCTGAACCCTGCCAAGCAACTAAGTTCTAGACCTAACTGTCTCCTTGCCAACTGTAGTAACCCAAAGTTTCACAAGGTCTTCAGAGAAATTATTGACCTGAATTCTTAAGAGTACAAGAAATGAATAGGATTTAACTTATAACTTTTGGGGTATTTTAAAATGACATTGTTTCTGCCTAATAACTAACCACTTGCATATTATTAATATACCAGCACCATCAACCTGGTATTTTTATGTTGCTGAAGGATTTTCCAACCTTGGTACTAGCTAAACTGAACAATACTACTGTTCAATGTAACAATTATTTCTAATTATGTAATAAACAATAACAACAAAAAACTTGGACATAATGTTTCTCCCTTATGTCACTAATCCAAAAATGAAAATAAATAAAATAAATAGCATAGGGATCTTGTTATAGTTATTGTAACATAGTCTTTTTATTGTATATATCAAAACAAGATGTTATAATAAAACTGTGTTTCTGATATCGGATCATTGAAAATTTTGACATGTATGAACTTCTCCAATCAAAAAGCAATTTTAATATATACCCAGTTGAATAATATAATCAATTCAATCTAATGCAATTTGTATATACTTATTGTATACTCCAATTTTTTTTATTATACTTTAAGTTGTGGGTTACATGTGCAGAACATGCAGTTTTGTTACATAGGTATACACGTGCCCTGGTGGTTTGCTGCACCCATCAACCCGTCACCTACATTAGGTATTTCTCCTAATGTTATCCTTCCCCTAACCCCCCACCCCGCAACAGGCCCCGGTTTGTGATGTTCCCCTCCCTGTGTCCATGTGTTCTCATTGTCCAACTCCCAATTATGAGTGAGAACAGGTGGTGTTTGGTTTTCTGATCTTGTGATAGTTTGCTGAGAATGATGGTTTCCAGCTTCATCCATGTCCCTGCAAAGGACATGAACTCATCCTTTTTTATGGCTGCATAGTATTCCATGGTGTATATGTGCCACTTTTTCTTAATCCAGTCTATCATTGATGGACAGTTGGGTTGGTTCCAAGTCTTTGCTATTGTGAATAGTGCCGCAATAAACATATGTGTGCATGTGTCTTTATCATAGAATGATTTATAATCCTTTGGGTATATGCCCAGTAAAGGAATTGCTGGGTCAAATGGTATTTCCAGTTCTAGATCCTTGAGGAATCACTACACTGTCTCCCACAATGGTTGAACTAATTTACACTCCCACCAACAGTGTAAAAGTGCTCCTATTTTTTCACAACCTTTCCAGCATCTGTTGTTTCCTGAATTTTTAATGATCCCCATTCTAACTGGTGTGAGATGGTATCCTATTGTGGTTTTGATTTGCACTTCTCTAATGATCAGTGATGATGAGCATTTTTTCATATGTCTGTTGGCTGCATAAGTGTCTTCTTTTGAGAAGTGTCTGTTCATATCCTTCACCCACTTTTTGATGGGGTTGTTTTTTTCTTGTAATTTTATTTACGTTCTTTGTAGATTCTGGATATTAGCTCTTTGTCAGATGGATAGATTGCAAAAATTTTCTCCCATTCTGTAGGTTGCCTGTTCACTCTGATGATAGTTTCTTTTGCTGTGCAGAAGCTCTTTAGTTTAATTAGATGCCATTTGTCTATTTTGGCTTTCGTTGCCAATGCTTTTGGTGTTTCAGACATGAAGTCTTTGCCCGTGCCTGTGTCCTGAATGGTATTGTCCAGGTTTTGTTCTAGGATTTTTATGGTCCTAGGTCTTACGTTTAAGTCTTTGATCTATCGTGAGTTGATTTTTATAAAAGGTGTAAGGAAGGGGTCCAGTTTTAGTTTTTTGCATATGGCTAGGCAGTTTTCCCAACACCATTTATTAAATAAGGAATCTTTTCCCCATTGCTTGTGTGTGTCAGGTTTGTCAAAGATCAGACGGTTGTAGCTATGTGGTGTTATTTCTGAGGCCTCTGTTCTGTTCCATTGGTCTATATATCTGTTTTGGTACCAGTAACCTGCTGCTATGGTTACTGTAGCCTTGTAGTATAGTTTGAAGTCAGGTAGCGTGATGCCTCCAGCTTTGTTCTTCTTGCCCAGATTGTCTTGGCTATGCGGGCCCTTTTTTGGTTCCATATGAAGTTTAAAGTAGTTTTTTCCAATTCTGTGAAGAAAGTCATTGGTAGCTTGATGGGGATGGCATTGAATCTATAAATTACCTTGGGCAGTATGGCCGTTTTCACGATATTGATTCTTCCTATCCATGAGCATGGAATGTTCTTCCATTTGTTTGTATCCTCTTTTATTTCATTGAGCAGTGGTTTGTAGTTCTCCTTGAAGAGGTCCTTCACGTCCCTTGTAAGTTGGATTCCTAAGTATTTTATTCTCTTTGAAGCAATTGTGAATGGGAGTTCACTCATGATTTGGCTCTCTGTTTGTCTGTTATTGGTGTATAAGAATGCTTGTGATTTTTGTACATTGATTTTGTATCCTGAGACTTTGCCGAAGTCGCTTATCAGCTTAAGGAGGATTTGGGCCGATGATGGGATTTTCTAAATATACAATCATGTCATCTGCAAACAGAGGCTATTTGACTTCCTCTCTTCCTATCTGAATACGCTTTATTTCTTTCTCTTGCCTGATTGCCCTTGCCAGAACTTCCAATACAATGTTGAATAGGAGTGGTGAGGGAGGGCATCCTTGTCTTGTGCCAGTTTTCAAAGGGAATGCTTCCAGTTTTCCCCATTCAGTGTGATATTGGCTGTGGGTTTGTCATAAATAGCTCTTATTATTTTGAGATACGTTCCATCAATACCTAGTTTATTGAGGGTTTTTAGCATGAAGGGGTGTTGAATTTTATTGAAGTCCTTTTCTGCATCTATTGAGATAATCATGTTTTTTTGTCATTGGTTCTGTTTATGTGATGGATTACTTTTGTTGATTTGCATATGTTGAACCAGCCTTGCTTCTCAGGGATGAAGCCAACTTGATTGTGGTAGATAAGCTTTTTGATGTGCTGCTGGATTCAGTTTGCCAGTATTCTTTTTTTTTTTTTTGAGACAGGGTCTCGCTCTGTCACCCAGGCTCAAGTGCAGTCACGTGATCTTGGCTCACTGCAAGCTCCGCCTTCTGGGTTCACGCCATTCTCCTGCCTCAGCCTCCCGAGTAGCTGGGACTACAGGCATCCATCACTACACCCAGCTAATTTTTTTTTTTTTGTATTTTTAGTAGAGACAGGGTTTCACCATGTTAGCCAGGATGTTCTCAATCTCCTGATATTGTGATACGCCCGCCTCAGCCTCCCAAAGTGCTGGGATTACAGGCATGAGCCACCACACCTGGCCTGCCAGTATTCTTTTGACAATTTTCACATCAATGTTCATCAGGGATATTGGCCTGAAATTTTCTTTTTTTGTTGTGTCTCTGCCAGGTTTTGGTATCAGGACAATGCTGGCCTCATAAAATGAGTTAGGGAGGATTCCCTCTTTTTCTATTGTTTGGAATAGTTTCAGAAGGAATGTTACCAGCTCCTCTTTGTACCTCTGGTAGAATTCAGATGCAAATCCATCTCATCCTGGACTTTTTTTGGTTGGTAGGCTATTAATTACTGCCTCAATTTCAGAACTTGTTATTGGTCTATTCAGGGATTCGACTTCTTCCTGGCTTAGACTTGGGAGGGTGTATGTGTCCAGGAATTTATCCGTTTCTTCTAGATTTTCTAGTTTATTTGTGTAGAGGTGTTTACAGTATTCTCTGATGGGAATACCCACATATTTCTGTGAGATCAGTGGTGATATCCCTTATATCATTTTTTATTGCATCTATTTGATTCTTCTCTGTTTTCTCCTTTATTAATCTGGCTAGCAATCTATCTATTTTGTTGATTTTTTTCAAAAAGCAGCTCCTGGATTCATTGATTTTTTGAAGGGTTATTTGTGTCTCTAACTCCTTCAGTTCTGCTCTGATCTTAGTTGTTTCATGTCTTCTGCTAGCTTTTGAATTTGTTTGCTGTTGCTTCTCTAGTTCTTTTAATTTTGATGTTAGGATGTCAATTTTAGATATTTCCTGCTTTCTGTTGTGGGCATTTAGTGCTATAAATTTTCCTCTAAACACTGCTTTAAATGTGTCCCAGAGATTCTGGTACGTTGTGTCTTCATTCTCATTGGTTTTGAAGAACTTATTTATTTCTGCCTTAATTTTGTTATTTACACAGTAGTCATTCAGGAGCAGGTTGTTCATTTTCCATGTATTTGTGTGGTTTTGAATGAGTTTCTTAATCCTGAGTTCTAATTTGATTGCACTGTGGTCTGAGAGACTGTTTGTTATGATTTCCATTCTTTTGCATTTGCTGAGGAGTGTTTTACTTCCAATTATGTGGTCCTTTTTAGAATAAGTGCAATGAGGTGCTGAAGAGAATGTATATTCTGTTGATTTGGGGTGGAGAGTTCTGTAGAGGTCTATTGGTTCCACTTGGTCTAGAGCTAAGTTCAAGTCCTGAACATCGTTGTTAATTTTCTGTCTTGTTGATCTGTCCAATACTGACAGTGGGGTGTTAAAGTCTCCCACTGTTATTGTGTGAGAGTCTAAGTCTCTTTGTAGGTCTCTAAGAACTTGCTTTATGAATCTGGGTCCTCCTGTATTGGGTGCATATATATTTAGGATAGTTAGCTCTTCTTGCTGCATTGTTCCCTTTACTATTATGTAATGCCCTTCTTTGTCTCTTTTGGTCTTTTTTTCATTTTAAGTCTGTTTTATCAGAGATTAGGTTTGCAACTCCTGCTTTTTTTTTGCTTTCCATTTGCTTGGTAAATATTCCTCCATCCCTTTATTTTGAGCCTATGTGTGTCTTTGCACATGAGATGGGGCTCCTGAAGACAGCACACTGATGGGTCTTGACTCTATCCAATTTGCCAGTCTGGTCTGTGCCTTTTAATTGGGGCATTTAGCCCATTTACATTTAAGGTTAATATTATTATGTGTGAATTTGATCCTGTCATTATGATGCTAGCTGGTTGTTTTGACCATTAGTTAATGCAGTTTCTTCATAGTGTCAATGTTCTTTACAATTTGGTATGTTTTTGCAGTGGCTGGTACCAGTTGTTCCTTTCCATGTTTAGTGCTTCTTTCAGGAGCTCTTGTAAGGCAGTTCTAGTGGTTGCAAAATCCCTCAGCATTTGCTTGTCTGTAAAGGATTTTATTTCTCCTTTGCTTATGAAGCTTACTTTGCCTGTATATGAAATTCTGGTTTGAAAATTATTTGCTTTAAGAATGTTGAATATTGGCCCCCACACTCTTCCGGCTTGTAGGGTTTCTGCAGAGAGATCTACTGTTAGTGTGATGGGCTTCCCTTTGTGGGTAACCAGACCTTTCTCTCTGGTTGCCCTTAACATTTTCTCCTTCATTTCAACCTTGGTGAATCTGATGATTATGGGCTTTGGGTTGCTTTCTCAAGGATTATCTTTGTGGTGTTCTCTGTATTTCTTGAATTTGAATGTTGGCCTGTCTTGCTAGGTTGGGGAAGTTCTCCCGGATAATACCCTGAAGAGTGTTTTCCAACTTGGTTCCATTCTCCCTGTCACTTTCAGGTACACCAATCAAACGTAGGTTTGTTCTTTTCACATATTTCTTGGAGGTTTTGTTCATTCCTTTTTATTCTTTTTTCTCTAATCTTGTCTTCATGCTTTATTTCATTAAGCTGACCTTCAATCACTGATATCCTTTCTTCTGCTTGATTGACTCGGCTGTTGATACTTGTGTATTCTTCACAAAGTTTTCGTGCTGTATTTTTCAGCTGCATCAGGTCATTTATGTTCTTCTCTACATTGGTTATTCTACTTAGCAATTTGACTAACCTTTTTCAAGATTCTTAGCTTCCTTGCATTGGGATAGAACATGCTCCTTTAGCTCGGAGTTGTTTGTTATTACCCACCTTCTGAAGCCTACTTCTGTCAGTTCATCAAACTCATTCTCTGTCCAGTTTTGTTCCCTTGCTGGAGATGAGTTGTGATCCTTTGGAGGAGGAGAGGCATTCTGGTTTTTGGAATTTTCAGCCTTTTTGCACTGGCTTTTCCCCATCTTTGTGGATTTATCTACCTTTGGTCTTTGATGTTGGTGACCTTTGGATGGGGTCTTTGAGTGGACGTGCTAATCCTTTCTGTTTGTTTCTTTTCCTTCTAACATTCAGGCCCCTCTGCTGCCAGTCTGCTGGAGTTTGCCGGCGGTCCACTCCCAACCCTGTTTGCCTGGGTATCACCAGTGGAGGCTGCAGAGCAGCAAAGATTGCTACCTGTTCTTTCCTCTGGAAGTTTCGACCCAGTGGGGCACCTGCCAGATGCCAACCAGAGCCCTCCTGTATGAGGTATCTGTCGGCCCCAACTGGGAGGTGTCTCCCAGTCAGTATACACAGGGGTCAGGGACCCACTTGAGGAGACAGACTGACCCTCAGCAGAGCTCGAACGCTCTGCTGGGAGGTCTGCTGCTCTCTTCAGAGCCATCAGGCAGGGATGTTTAAGTCTGCCATAAGCCCCTGACTGGGGCTGCTGCCTTTTTTACAGAGATGTCCTGTCCATAGAGGAGCAATCTGACAGTCTAGCCACAGCATCCTTGCTGAGCTGCAGTGGGCTCTGCCCAGTTTGAACTTCCCGGCAGCTTTGTTTACACTGTGGCCCTAAAACTGCCTACTCAAGCCTCAGCAATGGCAGACGCCCCTTCCCCCACCAAGCTCGACCATCCCATGTGGATCTCAGATTGCTGCTGTGCTGGCAGCCAGAATTTCAAGCCAGTGGATCTTAGTTTCCTGGGCTCCATGGGGGTGGGACCTGCTGAACCAGACCAGTTGGATCCCTGGCTTCAGCCCCCCTTTCCAGGGGAGGAAAGGTTCTGTCTCACTGGCATTCCAGGCGCCACTGTGGCATGGGAAAAACAAAACAAAACAAAACAAAACAACTCCTGCAGCTAGTTCGTTGTCTGCCCAATTGGCCACCCAGTGATGTGCTTGAAACCCAGGGCCCGGGTGGAGTAGTCACCAGAGGGAATCTCTTGGTTTGCAGGTTGTGAAGACCGTGATACAAGTGCAGTATCTGTGCCGGAGTTCCTCAGGCTCAGACCTTGACGGCTTCCCCTGGGTAGCGGGGGGAATTCCCCGAACCCTTGTGCTTCCCAGGTGAGGCAATGCCCCACCCTGCTTCGGCTCGCTTTCCATGGGCTGCACCCACTGTCCAACCAGGCCCAGTGAGATAAACTGGGTACCTCAGTTGGAAATGCAGAAATCACCTGCCTTCTGCATCAGTCTCACTGGGAGCTGCAGACCAGTGCTGTTCCTATTTGGCCATATTGAATGTCTGTTTACTCCATTGTTAAATCAAGAATGGCCAAACCCCATGTCTACAAAAAAAAAAAAAAAAAATCAGCCAGGTGTCATGGCACATGCCTATAGTCCCAGCTACTCAGGAGGCTGAGGTGAGAGGATAGCTTGAGCCTGGGAGGTTGAGGCTACAGTGAACAACATTGCACCACTGCACTCCAGGCTGGGTGACAGTGCAAGAGCAAGACTCTGTCTCAAAAAAAGAAAAGACTAATGAATCCATTGTAGACTATTTTAATGCAACTATTAATACTTAATTAAAAATGA
The DNA here is from genome assembly GCF_000001405.40 of Homo sapiens. Taxonomy (NCBI): domain Eukaryota; kingdom Metazoa; phylum Chordata; class Mammalia; order Primates; family Hominidae; genus Homo; species Homo sapiens. Next base: position 3,596,054 of record NC_000024.10, read on the forward strand.
AAATGTATAAAAAAAAGTAAAACTAAACAAGATCCTGGAAAAAAAGACATAAATCAGAAATATTACATACAAACCTGAGTGTGTGATCTTCCTAGCTTGTAGATAATACACTACATGATTTTGGGAGCAAAAACATTAATAATTATCTCACTCTTTGAAGCCAAGGAATACCTACTATTAAATTATTTGAACAGTCACACACACATGTGTCTGGAAACTGATATTGACTTCAAAGGTGGAATTTAACAGTCTTCATAGGGACCTCGTCAATTCTTTCACATAAAACCAAGTTATTTATTTCCAAGATACAATGGTGGTACAAGCATTGAGTAAACTTTCCCATTCCAAAAGGGATAAATCATACAAATGAAAAGGACAACAAGCCCCATGCAAGTCTGAAACCCCTGCAGGGCAGTCATTAAATCTTAAAGCTCCAGAATAATCCTTGACTCCATGGCCGCATCCAGGGCACACTAGTGCAAGGGGTGGGCTCCCTAGGCCTTGGGTAGTTCTGCCTCTGCGGCTTTGCAGGGTGACCCTGTAGCTGCTTTCATGAATTGGAGTTAAATGTCTGTGTCCCTTCCAGGCTGGGATTGCAAACTGCCAGTGGTTCTGCCAGATTCTTGGGTCTAGAGGGTGATGTTCCCATTCCCACAGCTCCACTAGGCAGTGCCCCAGTGGGGACTCTGTGCAGGGGCACTCTGGTCATTCGGGGTGCCTCTTCCAAATTATTATGACAAAAAAGAAAGTTTGTTTTTAAATTAAAGTTTTTGCCATCTGCACTATTTCTCCAATGCACAACTTTATGACCAGAGCATTCCCTCAGGGCAAAGTCATGAGAGAAAAAGGACCAAACAACAACCAAAAACCAAAACAAGCAATCTTTGCCATCCATAATATTCTAGCTTGCTTTCTTTTTCTGTGTTTTTCGATGCAGAAATGAAGTGCATTTTACTTTTTTTGTTTGATTTACAAGACTAGAGAGGAATATATAACTGCTATTTAAGAGTCTGGGCTCTGAAATTAGGCTATCTGGATTTTAAATTTCAAAAACTATATTGTGGCACTTACCAATGTCTCAAAATAAATGAGTCATTATTTTTCTGTCTGTGTAAACATCTAAAGAAGGTGTTTCTTTTTCTAACAGTAGAAACCCAGTGACTTCATTTCAGTCTTCGGTATTTACTTTTTGTAATTTGTCCAGGATTTATAATTATAAACAGCAAAAAAGATAGGCTATAGTGGGCTTATTCTGCTATAGCATAATTGGAATTTATTAATTTTTATAAATTTTACTTACCTCCCTTTATGCTAATCACCCCATGTAAAGCCCAGATAATACTAGAGTTGAGTTTGGTAGAATTAGCCTTTCTTCAGTCAACACATATGTTCAAAGGAATTACATCAAAGATAACCAAACAGAGTCCTTGCCTTCAAAGTTTTAATTCAAATTGCATTTATCTCAATGGGATAAACTGTGTGGGAAAATACAGCGTCTTGAATTTAAAAAAAAAAACACAGAGAATACAATTGAGGGCTAGATGTTTACTATTTTTCATCACTTAACTTTGAGTGGCAATAGAGCATTTCAGTAATTGTACCTCTATCCCTACAAGGAACCCGTCCCTGAAATGATTATCCCTATGGAAACAAGAAATAGCAATTAGATTTAACCATATTGCTGGGAGTTATCAGATCATCCATTAAGTCAGAGGAGACCAAGAGGGATAGAAGCAGTTATATAGTTACATTTTGTGAAAACTATGTCCAACTTTCTAGTTCTGTAAACACATACTCTGCAAACTTTGTTGAAGCAGCATCCCATGCATTTTTGAGAAAGTGCTACCAATAAAAGCATCCAGATTTATCCCTAAATTTTACACAGGCATATTTATATCCTATACACATTATGAAGTGAACACAAGTAAAAATTATAGTTAGATAAATGGCAAGCACAAGCCGTTTCAAAATTTTCCCACACCCCAGTGCAGTTTTTGGGGGTATCCCATGGTGTTCACACATCTGAATTTTGAAATAATTACTATAAATGTAATATATTCTATGAAAAGAGAAAACTATATCAACAAAAATTTCTGTAAACCATACACGGTTTAATGAAAGATGATGATGATGGCGTGCGTGTCTATGAGTGTGTTTCTAGTTTTATTAAACCAATGAATACAATTTTATTTCTTACATAAATTCTTAGCCATTGTAGGTTATAAAATATATATTTCGTTAAAGCATAGAAAGTCGGTTCTTGCTATTTATCTGTCTCACTGTGTCCTGACAAATATCTCCCTGGACTGGTTCCTTAAAGTTGAAGTCCTACTGAATATTTTTTTTTTAAAGTATAAAAATTTTTTTGAGCTCAAAGGCTTCAGGAAAGTTTTCAACAAACTAGCATCAGAAAACATCTTACTCAACATCAGAAAAAAATTTATATTCTAACTCTGACTTTCTTGAGCTTACTAGACAGTTCATTGTTTTTGACATTATTTGACATCTGTTTCAATATTTAGATGAAAGTAGAAAAGTACTTTTAGAATACCATCCCTGAGAAGGCAACTGGACATATTTTATGCAAGTATTTCTAAAATACACAGAGATAATATTTTGAATTAAGCCTTCAAATGTAAGATGATTTAATTCAATTTGTTTATTTTCAAATTCTCAGAGGAAAAAAATGCCTTTAAAAATAATTTTTTGTAACGTATTTTTTTTTGTCCTTAGTATATGCTTTAAAATATACAGATTCCCTTGGATTTCTAAAATTTAATTCTGTTAATATTTCAGTTTTAAAACACAAAGAGGTAAACAAATGAATGCTTGCCTAACCAGAATTTAAATATTTTTGGAATCTGTTGACTTATTAAATATCTCATTGAGTTTTGCTATAAAAAATAAACAGCTTAATTTTTTATCATTTGAATATCATGATTTTTACAAGATTATTCTCTTGCTGGAGAATAACATTCCTTTGCGATGTGCTTTTCAGATAGATGGTATCATTCTTATGTAGGGGTTAAGTGAAGATATTAAGGGTGGAAACAATTCCGCCAATGGATGTACATGTCTTAGAAGACTTCTTGCTCATTATAGCTTTGATCATAATACTGAGCTTAACACACAAACACATACACACACATAGCCTCTATCTCAAACCCTTGTTTTAAGTCATTTTCATGTAATTCCCTTTGTTCTTTGCACATATAAGGAAATATATTTAAAAGCCAAGTATTGAACACCTTGTCTTCTGACCCCACCATCTGACAAACCCTAATGTTTAAAAGCTGAAACATTTAATCAGTTATCATTTATGACACCACTACATCTTTGTTCCCTAATGTTCTTTATATATATGTGTGTGTGTGTATATATCTATATGTGTATATATATGTGTGTATATATGTGTATGTGTGTATATATGTGTATATATGTATATATGTGTATATATATGTGTGTATATATGTGTATATATATATGTGTGTATATATATGTGTGTATATATATGTATATATTGCTATTAGTAAAAAGAGAATACGAGAATGAAGTTAGGAAAATGCTTTTGCCTAATATAAAAGCTTGGATAAACTGATGTCCTGGAGTAACATTCTGAAGTTCCATAAGATGATCTGGGATATTTATTGGAGTACAAAATTTCACAATCATATGGTTTTTTCTTGGATTGCTGGAAGCTTAGTTTATTATTAATTTTTTGTAATAAAAAAGATTAATTCTGTAGACATTTTCCTGGGAAGACAATCTAGTTTCCAGTATGTGTCACTGAAATAATAATTTAGGTTCAGTTATACAGCAGAAGATTTTGTGGAGAAGAAAAATTTTTAAGTAAAGCAGCATAAAGAACAATTAATTTTATGATATATGATTAAAAAATATTTCTTGATGATCACTTATTGATATACAATAATGGCTCTCCTCAAACTTAATTATTCTCACAAAGTATCCATGGAATAACATTTAATAAAGATAGTATCTTGCTCTTCTGACAGTTTCTTACACTTTCATGTGTTTGAGGGAAGGTCTAATTGTAAGTTTGAAGAAACTATCTTGGGATACATTTCTGCTTTATGATTTGCTACTACTGATATTTTTATATAAATGTGTGTGTGTATCTATCTATCTATATATCTATATATATAATACGGGAGGGGGCCAAGAAATTGTTGGGTAGAGAGGGTGGAGTCCCTGGCCACCCTTGGGCCTGTACCCATGGACCTAAGTGAGAACAGGCATTCCTGTTTTCATGCTCGAATGTTGCATTTTTCAAGACCACTCTGGCCTGCCACAACCCCCATCCTGTGCCCATATAAACCCGAGACTATAGGGGGCACACAACACAAGTGGCTGAATGTCAAGAGGAGCAGAGGAACAGAGCGGCAGAGAGTGGCAGAGAGCAGTAGACAGCAGCAGGGTGTCACAGAAAAGAAGGAAGGAAGAAGCGTCTGAACATCGAGAGTTCAGCAGAGAACTCCCCGACCCCTCCACCTTCCAGCTCCCCATCCATCTTGCTGAGCTCCACCTCCAACATTCAATAAAAGCTTGCACTCATCCTTTGAGCCCACGTGTGATTGGATCCTTCTGGGACACGGGGCAAGTGCTCAGGATACAGAAGGCTGTCACACTGGCCCTCTGCCCTTGCGATAAGGCAGAGGGTCCATTGAGCTTATTTACCATCAAGCAATCTGCAGATGGCAAAACTGAAAGACCTTTGTAGCACGGGGGTTGCAGTTACCCACCCCTAGACACTGGCCCCAGCCTCTGCACCTGCCCAACTGCATGCTCCCCTCAGGGGTTTGAGCTGCAAGGCAACCAAACAGGTGAGCCACACCCCTGTCACATGTCCTGTGAGGGGAAATCAGGGAATTCTCCCATTATATATATCAGATGTAGCAGTAGGAGATAAAGTGGCATAAGTTAAACATGATGAATACAGGCATGATAAAATAATATATTACATTTCTCCTCATTCCATAACATTATTTCCTATTAGTCTTCTATCATATTTGCAGACATTTTGGACTATATTCTCTAAATGTTCTCTATTTTTTTTTGCAAACTATATTAATCATATATTTCCCAAAGTGAAATATGGGTGGAAAAGTTCATTGTGAGCTTCAGCCTTTATTTTTCAGATATCTGCCAAAAGCCCTTCTTCCTAGAATTTACATTCATACATTTGACATTGGCCAGAACATCTTTTTCAACATGAAAGACTCTTTTCTTTTTGTTTTCAGAGTACAAAGAGTAAATCCACCTTCTGAGTAAAATTTTATTACTTAATATGTAGAGATTCATTTGTCACATTAAGATTATGTTTTATTCTTTTAAAATTAAGAATATAACAAATACCAGGATAGTCATATTGTGTGAACAGCAATATATTCTTGTTGTAGAGGTACCCACATGAAAAGGCAATGTTTAATTAGAATGTTGCTTTTTTGGGAGCTTCAACTTTGAACAAGACAAGTTAGATCTAAGTGTGATCTAGAAGTGGTTATGTCTACATAGGCATAATTGGTTCTCACCCTTCTCCCACTTGGATGGATTTAGCAGTTTGACACATACCCAAAGAAGATCCATCTTTCCATTGCATTAACAAGAGCTAGATATTTAAAGAATATTTTATGAGGAGAGAGTTTTTAAATAAAAGGTTTATGTCATAAGCAAAGTAGTAAAGATTTACAAAATTCCATTTAAGAAAATCTCTGTTTTTTTTTTTCCCCAAGGTTACGGTATCTTATTTCTCCTCATCTTTTTTATCCTTCTTGTAGCTTCTAAAATATTAGCTTATATTTCAGAGTAATATTGATCCTTCCTTTAGCTTGTATACTCAGCAAAACAAAATCCCAGTTATTGCTCCTGCAGTCAGATCTTGTATTATTTCTCAGATTTGCCTCTTGGTGTTTTTAAGTTCATTCAGCCACAAAGGACTCAAACATGTAATGTCATTAAGTTAAAATTGCCTGATTTATTTATCTACACAACTCTCCTTGCCAACAGGACACACACACAAAAAATCATACTTAGCATCTGCTAATGGTCCCAAATCCTTCTTTGGAACATTTTAATGAACATCAACTGGCATTAGTCTCTGTGCCTTTCTTTTCTTTTTGCTCCCATTCCTTTAACTGAAATGCACCATTTTAAATGTTTACACAGACAGAAACATAATAGCTAGTATTTACTGTGAGACATTGGTAAGTGCCACAAGATGGTTTTTGAAATTTATAATCAGATAGTCTAATTTCAGAGCCCAGACTCCTAAATAAATGTTAGACCTTCCTTTCTAATCTTATTGATTAATGTCACAGAAAATCAAGCTAATTATTCAGGTTAGTAGTGATTTCATGTGCCCTTCATTCTATGTAGTTGAACAAAATATGTTATCATTCTATGTACAGTATTATGTATGCTAATTGTGTACATGACAGAATATTAATGTTGCAAATTTTGCCCATATATTTCCCTCATATTAACAACTACTATTAGGTAGAGTTTATCCACTTTCACTTTTACATTGCTAGTGTGTATGAACTAAGAATCAAATGCAATTGTTAGTGCCAATTAAGGAGGGATGTTTTCCCTCAGTCTAACTTTATCATCCTTAGGAATGTGTCTTCTTCCATATTTTGTGCTTACAATATTTCATGTTTTAGCCTGATGGAATATAGTTTAAGATTAGTTACTTTTCAGAGAGAAAGAGAATATTATTTACAAAAGTTGTTTTCATCTTTAAATTTATTTCCAGTTCTGGCATTATTTTCTCAGAATACATTTCCAATATATATTTTATGGAAAACACATTTTTAAATAATGGTATCAGCCTCAACATAATTTTTACAGGACATGTGGCATAAAAGTACAGGAACATGTTCAGTGCAACCTTTGGCTGTGCAGATCTAGGCTCTGAGGGAACAGGGTGTATGACTCCTCTTTATTATTAGTGCTGATAACATGTAAAAATGATTCTTTCAAATTTGCTTGATAATAATGCTATTTAAATATAACTATCTTGAAAACTTATGGGAGATAACTGTATACCTTAAGATACCCTTAAACATATTATTTCTCTTGCAAACACTGGTAATTTAGTTTTTCTATTTCAAGTAATGATTTCAATTAAGGGGAAAGTGAAATACAAAGATTAGAAGTTCATTTGCTCCTTTATAATATTATTCAAGGTGCAACTGAGAACAAAAGTCTAAAACTCTTTTTTTTAAAATGCCATCTTGGTTTTATTTAATTCTAAGAATGCAATTTTAAAATGTAACTACATATGGTGAATATGAATATTTTTCAATTAACTTTTTAAAAGAGAGAATATTTCACTGAATAACAAGCACATAGTTCTGGCTAATTTATGTAATTGTATGTGTTTGGTTGCCCAATATACAATATATTTGTGTTATTTAGAATAAATTACAAATATACAATTCCTATATAGGCAGTTTATAATTTATATAAAGATTTTACATATGAACAGGCATCTAAAAGATATCCACCAAATAATTAATTTATAAAAAGAATTAAAGTATTAAGCATGAGAAATATAAGGTGTTATACAGTCCTATTATAAAAGCTTACAGTAATCACATATTAGTAGCCCGATTTTTGACAGAATTCCCAGGCTTATGATCTCCTTGCATGTCTAGTAGCATAATTTTAAATGCATGAAAGCTTTATTTTAGAGTTAGAAGCTGAAGGAGCTTATTGTAAGGATAATAGACTTAGGGAGAATTAAGGGTGCTTAGTTATACTTTGGAACTTGAAGAATCCATAGCTTTGATATACATTAGGATATATGACCCAACTATTATCTTCCAGGCATGACATATGTGCTGGAAATAACAGAGTACTAGCAGAATGTGAGAATTGGTAGACATGAAGTATAAACCTGTCCAGTAATTCACTTTCTTGATGATGTAAAAAACAGAGTGATTGTGGTTTCCACAGACATGCAGAACTATGATAAGAAAATAAGAAATATTAGAGGAAAATATTATCCTCTAAAAACAAACAAACATCATAGAGAGTCTGGGCTTCGGGTCACAGCCTTTAGCCTTAAGACCAGACTTGTATAAAACCTAGAGTTAGGATTGTTAACCATTTTTTATGTGACTGACAACCAGCCTCTGAATGTGTTTTGCAATAGCAAAATATCTATCTGCTACTACTATCTGTGAATAATCCCTATGTGTGATTATTTTAATCACCCAAAATTACATATAGATAGATGGATAGATATACATATTGTATTACTATATGAAAATAAAAATGCTGTCTTGAATTGCTGATTGGAAAACAAATATGCAGTTATCTCCATTAGGAATTTCAGGTTTTTAGCAACTGAAACATATTATTATAAACATGGGTTTCATGAAATTGCTCTTCTTGTGCTTTATGTTTGAATAAAATTGTATCTCTTAATTTGCTCACCTTTTTCTTTAATAAATGCAATAAATAAATAATATCTGCAGAAACTTACATAATGTAGGTAATAATAGAAGTAAAATAACACAATTGAGACTCTCATTTTATGCCTCATAGTAGCCTTATAACCAGAACAAAAGCTTTCTAAAACAACTAGAAATTTCAGTTAACATACAATTAAATGCATAGATACATTTTTAATAAACTGAAGAAAAAATTTTATGGTATAAAAATGAAGAGGATCATGAAACTAGAGCAACAAGAAAGACTCACCCTTTCTGATATCATGTGCTGATATGAGTGATATTGTTTGGATATTTGTCCCCCCACAAACCTCATGTTGAAATGTGATTTCCAGTGTTGTAGGTAGGGCCTGGTACGAGGTGACTGGATCGTGGGAGCAGATCCCTCATGAATGGTTTAGCACCATCCTCTTGGTGATATCTGACTTCTTGTTCAGTTAGTTCACACAAGATCTGGTTGTTTAAAAGATTCTGGGGCCAGGCGCAGTGAATCACCCCTGTAATCCCAGCACTTTGGAAGACCGAGGCAGGCAGATCATCTGAGGCTGGGAGATCGAGACCAGACTGGACAAAATGGTGAAACTCTGTCTCTAGTAAAAATACAAAAATTAGCCAGATGTGGCGGTGCACACCTGTAATCCCAGCTACTCGGGAAGCTGAAACGGGAGAATTGCTTGAATCTGGGAGGTGGAGGTTGCAGTGAGCCGAGATCTGGCCACTGTACTCCAGCCTGGGTGACAGAGTGAGACTCTGTCTCAATAAAAATAATAATAATAATAAAATAAAATTTAAAAATAAAAATATAAGATTCTGGGATGGCCCTCTTTACTGTCTCTTGCTCTCTTTTGCCACGTGACATGCTCATTTCCCTTTTCCTTCTGCAATGATTGTAAGCTTCCTGAGGCTCTCACCAGGAGCAGATGCAGGAACCCTGCTTCCTCTACAGCCTGTAGAACTGTGAGCCAAAATAAAACTTTTTCTTTACAAATTATCCAGTCTCTGGTATTTATTTATAACAATGCAAGAACACACTAACACATATGAATACATACGATTGTTGTGTCTTGATGGATTTTTGGGCCAGGAGATAAGGGCTTGAAACTGAGAAGAGTGGGAGTTAAAACTCAACCCTTACACACAGTAAGGCCCTATATCCTCAATGAAATGGTAAACTAGGAATAATATGTTTGTCATCAAAGAAAGTCTTCGGTAAAAGTTTTCTATATCTGCCTGGGGTCTAGGTATATATGTATGGTAAGCAGAATCTTAATGTGTCTCTCATGATCTCCACTCACTGATGCTATACCCATGATTATATTACACAGCAAATGGTATTTTGCAAATAAAAATAAGATTAATAAAAGGTTTAACTTACAATTGGATGATTATCTGCTTCTTCAGTTTGTTGCATAAGGGAAAGCCATAGATATTTAAAGCATGAGAGGAATATGATGCATGGGAGGTTTTTTATTTCTGAGATGAAGGGCCATGTGGAAAGGACTTGAGAGAGGCCTCTAGTTGCTGACAGTCATCCCCAGTCAACAGGTAACATAAAAATAAAAACTTCTGTCCTACTACTTCAAGAAAACAAATTTTGCAAAAAATCTGATGGTGCTTACAAGTAGATCTTCCTTAATTGAGCCTTCAGATAAGACCATAGCCCAGCAGAAATTTTGACTTCAGTTTTTTAAGACTCTAAAAAGAGAATCCAGTGAAAACATGCTGGATTTTTGAAACATGGGAACTATGACAAAACAAACTTTTGTTATTTTAAGCCAGTAAGATTTTGGTAATTTTGTATGCAGCAATATAAATCTAATACACCTACTTACCTCAGTCATGAGAAAAGTGATTCCTGCATTTTCCTATGGGATAATATGGACATTAGTAAATAGTGTTTGGACAACTAGTTGACTTCATACCTCCTGAACATTAAGAAATATACCACTAGATGAAATATGTGAATGCAACCAAAAAAAAAAAAAAAGCCAATGCATGTATTAGGATAAAAATTTGTATAATCTTTTGTGGAAAAGGTCTTTCTAATTATGACACAATATATAAAAAAAATCATAAATTAACTACATAAAAATAATGAAAATTGTTTTATGGTTAAAAAAAATACCCCACCAAAGCACACTAAAAAGATAAAATCTTTGTAAATTTTATACCATAAGTTATCTATGTATCTATTATCTATCTGTCCATCCATCCATCTGTCCATCGATATGTCAGAGAAATAAAAAAAACAGACACAACCCAGTAAAAATATAGGCAAATGGCATAAACCATTATAAAAAATGTGCAATCATCCCTTAAACATATAAAACAGATGTGAAATTTTTATTGCTGGTATTGAAAGGTAATTTAAAGCTTTATTGAAATAACCCTCTTATCTATGAGATTAAAAAAAACACACAAGCTTGACAATACACAATGTTGTTGAAACTGTAGAAAAATAGGATCTTTCACACTGTTTTATGGGGCATAAAATGTTATGATCCCCTAGGAAACAATTTCAAAAGAACTGTCAAAATTGCAAATGCATTTACCCCAAATATTCTACAAGAATGCCTATAAAATACATATGAACCAGGTTTGTTATTGTAATAGCAAAATGGGAAAATTTGGGGAAAAAACCAACTGAACATCTATGGTATACTGGTTTAAAATTATAGTACATCCATATAATGCAGTTGCTAAAAAGAATAACAAATCTTACCATGTACTGTTGGGGATAAATACAAAATATGTTGTTCTACAGCAAAATGTATGTGAGAAATGGGGAAGAACGATTGTGTATTCATTTTGTGCTTGCCTTCTATAAGAAATTTTATAAGGAAATACAAAAACATTATTAAAAGCGGTTATCTATAGGGATTGAGAAATACTTTAGATGTGGAAAAGAAGGAAGCGTAGTAGCAGACATTTTGCTACCTGTATTAGTTTGTTCTCAAGTTGCTATAAAGAAATACCTGAGACTGGGTAATTTACAAAGAAAAGAGTTTTAATTGGTTCATGGTTCCAAAAGCTGTATAGAAAGCATGGAGGCTTCTGCTCAACTGGGCAGGCCTCACGGAGCTTTCAATCGTGGTGGAAGGCAAAGGGGAAGTGAGTCACTTCATATGGCCAGAGCAGGTGGAAAAGAAAGGCGGGGAGTTGCCACACACTTTCAAACAACCATGTCTGGTGAGAAATGTATCACAAGAACAGCACCAAAGGGAAAACTCAACCCATAATCCAATCACTTCCCATCAGGCCCCACCTTCAACATTGAAGGTTACTATTCCACATGAACTTTGGGTGGGGACACAGATGAAAACCGTAACATTCCACCCTTAGCTCCTCCCGAATCTCATGTCCTTTTAACATTGCAAAATCCAGTCATGCCTTCCTAACAGTCCCCCAAAGTCTTTACTCCTTCCAGCATTAACTCCAGAGTCTAAAGTCTCATCTGAGACAAGGCTAATCTTTTCACCTATGAACCTGTAAAAAATAAAAACAAGCTAGTTACTTCCAAGATACAATGGAGGAATGGGCATTGGGTAACAATTTCCATTCCTAAAGGAAGAAATCAGTGAAAAGAAAGGGGTTACAGGCCCCATGCAAGTTCAAAACCCATCAGGGTAGTCATTAAATATTAAAGCTTTAAAATAATCTCCCTTGACTTCATGTCTCACATGAAGCCCTGTAAGATTGCTTAGCTTAGAGTCAGAGAAGTTAATGTCCTCAAGGGCAACTCTCAATCATCAGCAAAAAATTCTGAGGCATATTCCACACTGTGTCATAGAATTTTCAGCAGAAATAAGCCCTAGCTTCCCACATAAGTTATCAGCCCAATAATGCACCATTTATTCTTTTATCATCCTTACCCCAAAATGCTACATTTAATCCTCCTTCTTGTTTAATGAACTCAATTCCCATAATAAATTGCCTGCAGTGATTGACTTTTCTCCAGATCCACATTTAAACTATTAACAACAAATATTTCAGTGTATATAATTTTATATTGTTTTGATATTTTAACTATGTGACTATAATACCTATTTTTGAAAGTCTGAAATGCAAATATTGGCTCTAATGTGGAGCTAACAGAGTTCTTAGAAATTCACTAGGGGAATTAAATTATTTATGAAAATTTTGAAAATAACTTGGCAAATTCTATTTAAGTATAAGATATACATATCATCACAATTTCAGTCCTAGAGAGCCCTCACATACATGTTCAGGAATACATATTCAACAATGTCCATATCAGCATTTTGACAATGACAAACAATTAAGAGTAGCCTGAATGTACCATAGTCAACAAATTCTGGAACAGTCATAAAATTGAATTCTATTTAACAGTAAAAATGAAGGAACTAGTGCTGCAACTATAAATGTAGACGACTCTTAAAAACATTGCTATGTAAAAATATATTGCAGGAAAATTCACCAACCATTCTACACATTAAAAGTTAAAGCATGAAAAACATGCCACTTGTTGTTCAGGGTGTGAAAGGAAAATATCTTGGGCCCCAAAACTCGCTAAGCTAAAGGGAAGCAGCTGAGAACTGCTTAGGGCAAACCTGCTTCCGATTCGATTCAAAGTTATCCCTGTGCTCACTGAGATAAATCCTATCTGATTGCTTCCTTTGGAAAGGCTAGTCAGAAACTCAAAAGAATGCAACTGTTTTTCTCTCACCTATCTGTAACCTGGAAGCCCCCTCCCCATTTCAAGTCTTCCTGGCTTTGCTTCCAGTTGTCACTCCTTTCCAGACAGAACCAACGTACTTCTTACATATATTGCTTGATGTCTCCTATCTCGCTAAAATGTATAAAACCAAACTTTGCCCAACCACCTTGGACATATGTCATCAGGACTTCCTGAGGCTGTGTCATGGACATGCATCCTCAACCTTGGCAAAATAAACTTTCTAAACTAACTGAGACCTCTCTCAGATTTTCTGCATTCACATTTTGTTAACCACGGCGGGGATTCTGAGTGGAGATGGCCCTGACCTTCGACAAATCTCTTATTGCCGCTTGATGAGCTAACTTTATGGCTCAAACCAACAGGAAACGTTGCTGAGGTCTGAGAGCAACCCCTCCAGACAATCCCTGATCTCCCCAAATTTGGTCAATATCTAAAGCTTATTTTGCTGTACAACTCCACTTTTTTGGGGGAGTTTTACTTGCTTCCAACACAAGGAAGGCAAGTTTTTCTGCTTCCATGATGATGAAAGGCAGGCAACACCTGTGTGGAGTTTGAGCTCGCTTCCAACAGGGAAGATGAGGGTGTGTGTGTGTGTGTGTGTGTGTGTGTGTGTGTGCGCGCGCGCGCTTCTAGGATGGTAGAGAGCAGGAGAGCAGTCTGGCAGTCTACAGCCTGAGACCCATCCCTAGGTAAGTAACTGAATTAGGGTTTGTTTTGGCTAAAGGTAAGATTGACCACCAGATGGTCTTAATTTCTCCTTACTATTAGAGCACTCAGCAATCATATAAGTTGTGCAATCATTTGTATTGCTTACCTGTTTCTGTTGATGTTGTTATTGTTGTTTGTTTGTTTCTGTTTTTGTTGTTATTTCAGTCTTTTTGATACTTGGTGCTTCTGAAATAGCAGTAATTTGTCCTAGCTGAAACATAGTACTGAGATTTTAAAATGTTTTTTAAAGGAGCTCAATGGTTAAAAGTCAGCTTAATTAAAAGCTAGCATCCCAAGTGTGTATGTGTGCATGAGTGTGTTTGTATTTAAAAAGCCTTCATGTTTTTGTTTTTGTTTTTCTCTTTTAAGACCTTGTCTTTTTTTTTTTTTTGAGCAAAAGATTTTTTTCTTCTCAGTTGACTGAATTCTGTTTTCACCTGATTTTTTGACTAAAATAGTTATTGCAACAGGGGCTACTCTTGGGTTTTTAATGAAGAGTGTACTTTAGACACTCAGAAATGTCTTTGTTAAAAAAATTAACTGCACTGTAAAAGCGTCTCTAGCACCACCAGACTTTTTCTCTCTGTACCTTATAATGTAAATTTTGCTATTTAACTTTCACCTGAGTTGTTTCCTTTAATATGCAAATTTAAGGCTATTTAGCTAACAACCACCCAGTGTTGTAAAATAGGTTATCAAGAATCTAAAAGTCTAAGATAGAAAAAAAGGATCTTTATGAATCTATAATATGTGCTTTCATACGTCTATGTATTTATGTGTTGTTTACACAATGTTTCACTGCTGAAAATATATAAAAGGCCTCTAATTAATTGGCTTGAAGAAAAATAAAAATGTTTAAATCCGATATTTTATCAGGAAAAAAGAAAAGACTAGTCAAATACTTTTTCAAGTTTATGTAACTTAAGTAAAATCTTTAATAAATAAGCTAGCTTTAGAATTATTGGTAAAGTAATATTAGAAATGTCTTAAGAATTGACACCATACATTTTTTGTTTGCATTTATTAATCAGGCAATTTCATACTTATTCCTGCCAAATACCATAAGGTGTCAAAATAAACTCTCTAAATTACCTGAGCCCTGTCTCAAAATTTGGGGTTTTGAGGGACACCTACAAGTGCAGTGAAATATGAAGAAAGTTATGTTAATGACAATCACCAAATTATAGTGATCACTTCTAGAGAAAAGGGAAAGTAATAAACTGAAAAACATTTATACTATAAATTTCAACACCATTGCAAGATTTAATTTTTTAAGCTGAGTTGTAAGTATAATGATATTCTTTATATTATTATTTATGTCTTCTATAGGCTTTGACTATTTCACGATCAATTCAAAAATTAAAAAATATGCAAAATGATTATAGTAAATTTTTAAAGAATCTTTGCAGTAAGTATATTTCTGCCACTTTTTTGAAACTTTTCCTAAAGTTTTTTTCTTGTAACTTGTACCTTTTTGAGGAGCGTTTTCGAGGCAATATCCCTTTGCTGGAATACTAATTAGTGAGTATTTTATTCATTCTCATCTATCCATCTATAATTGATATGGTTTAGATTTATGTTCCCACCCAAATCTCATGTCAAATTGTAATCCCCAATGTTGGAGAAATGGCCTGATAGGAGGTGATACAATCATGGGAGCAGATTTTTGCCCTTGCTGTTCTATGATAGTGAGTGAGTTCTCATAAGATCTGGTTGTTTAAAAGCTTGTAGCACCTCTTTCCCACCTTCCTCCTGCTCTGTCCATGTAAGACATTCCTGCTTACCCTTCTGCCATAATTGAAAGTTTTGTGAAACTTCCCCAGTTATGCTTCCGATACAGCCCGTGGAACTGTGAGCCAATTAAACCTCTTTTCTTTATAAATTACCCAGTTTCAGATATTTCTTTTTAGCGGTGTGAGAACAGACTAATACAATGATAATAGAAATCTCTTCATCTATGATATCTCCCCATTTCTGATGATATTAAGTAAAAATAGTTTAATCCATTTTTCGTAAGTTGCTATAAGTTTATTTTGAAAACCAAGTATTAGTTTCAGGCCATTTTCTGCCATATGCTTTCTGTAGAAAGAGCATTTAATAACTACATGTACAATCAGTAAATGAATGAAAACTTTTTATAGAGATATAACCAAGTAATTTCTTATTGTTAACTATTGACAGTAAACAATTCTATAAATAATTACTACATAATAAAAAACTGAAGGAAAACTCAAAAGACTTTTAATTTTATTTATGTAAAAGAAGAAGTTTTAAAATTTGTGGACATGCTGTCTCATTGACCATAAACACTAAACAAAAGTTATTTCTTATTTTTAAATAATTTAACAGCTTTTTCAACCCACCATTTCTATTAGAATGCTAAATTTCTCAAAAATAGGAATAAATCAACATCAGAGTTTTATAAATCAGAGTGTCTTTGTACTCTACAAATTAGTATGCTTAATATACAACTTGAAGTCCTTCAGAGAAAATATTAAACAGAAATGCCTTCTACCCAGAGATATGAATGTGCCTTTGCAATAATAAAGAAGAGACTAAAAATTGTATAGCAATACCTAGTATCTGACCAATATATTATTTCACAAAAATAATAAAGTATCTTGCATCATACATGGAAGACAGTGACTTATTCCTGAATCTACTATATCTACAGACTTTCTTGTACCAAATATTTACTATAAGTACATACAACTATGGAAAATGCTATGCTATGCCTTTGAGAGGTAGAGTACTGTAGAAATCTACACTTATTAAGAGCACAGTATTTTACTCTTTTCCCTTTCCTATGACATCTCTTCACCAGTCCCCTTCTTTCTATGTGTGTGTGTGTGTGTGTGTGTGTGTCTGTGTGTGTGTGTGCGTGTGTTTATTTTATTGTGTCTATTTCAGTCAGCTAGGCTTCAAATGTAATCGTCTATCACATGTTCAATTTATTTGAGGCGTGAAGTTTTCCCAGGACACTAAAGCAAGAGGCACCTTAGGAACGGAAGCAGAGTAACTAATGCAGAGTTCTCCTCAGACATCAGAAATAATTATGACATCGTAGTTTTATGTCAAACTATATAATAAGAAAAAAATTAAAATCTTTTTCTGGACTGTCCTGGGTAGTGTTAACAACATGACAGCTATTCCCTCTGTACACACTTAGCTGAGCAGAACTAGTTGAAGCATTAATTGTTGTTATCACAGCAGCATGGTTAACATGCTCATAAATATTATCTTGGCAACAGATTAAAAATAAAAAGGCCAGAAATTATGTTGTAAAAGTATTAACAATTTTAATAAGCCTAAAGGTGGTCAATCTGCCAACCGGGATATTACATCTTCAAATATATTCAAATACTAGTAATGGCATGGATATTTGGTACATTAAACAATCTAAATTTCACTTGGTTTACCATGTCAAATAGAAAATAAAAGAAATGAGTTATGTCTCTTCTATTTCCAGAAGAGGATTGTTGGAGCTACACTAGCCAGCAGATAATTTGCATGCAGCACCACTACCATCAGATTACAAAAAAAAAAAACAAAAAAAAAAAACCAGAAGCATGATAATTAAAAGAGATCCAAGGATATCAATGACAATTATAAAATATTGTTTTAAAATATGCTGTTAAGGCTCCCCAGGTAATGGACTGCTTCCCTTAGTTTCTGGCAATTTACCAGAATGCATTCCAAAGCATTTGATAAACCGGTAATGCAAAGTATGTTATTCCTAGACAGTTGAGAACTCAGTTAATTAGAGCCTCCAGAATAAACGGGTCCCTGAGTAGTTGCTTTGTAAACCTATTGTTATTAATCTGATCTTCCTTATAGCCACTTATACATTAAATTGCTTATATTTCATTGACGCTATCTATCTTGAATATTTTGGAGAGATAACTGTTGTATATGTATTATTATTAATTAAATATTATTCCATATATTTTCCTTTACAAATATCACTCCATGTTAGATGTCACTAATTTAATAGCTTGGCAGTATAATTATATTGAGTTGAGGAATAAATACCACAAAATTTCTGATCAATCAACCTGAAAGTTCCATAAATGTCTTTGTCACTTATCAACAGTGAGAGTAGCTTAGTAATCACTTCTCTAAAATATGTTTTTATCTAAATTTATTTCCCTGCTCACTTTTTGCCCTCAACCTTCATGTTTTATAGTTACAGATGACATTTTGCAAAACAAATTTAAATTTATCCTATCAAAAAAATTGTAATTAATAATGAATGCTTACAATTTGTATGGCATAATATTTATTGCTTTATGTGTGTTGTATCTCCTTTAGTCATCAACACAACTATATGAATTGTACTACACTTTACATATATTAAAAAATAGAAAGTTTGGGAGGCCAAGGTGGTTGGATCACCTGAGGTCAGGAGTTCGAGACCAGCCTGGCCAACATGGCGAAACCCCATCTCTACTAAAAGTATAAAAATTAGCTGGGGGTGTGGCGGGAGCCTGTAATCCGAGTTACTCTGGAGACTGAGGCAGGAGAGTCACTTGAACCCGGGAGGCAAAGGTTGCAGTGAGCTGAGATCGCACCATTGCACTCCAGCCTGGGCGACAAGAGTAAACTCCGTCTCAAAAAAAAAAAAAAAAAAAAAAGAGGCAATGAACAGCAATTTGCTTGAATTCACGCAGTCTGATAAAGTAAGGATTTGAACTTTGGTCTTTATAACTCTGAAGTACACATCACTAGTGCCAAAAACAGTAAAATGCTACTATTTTTAAAAAGCTTATTTCACCATGAGAGAGATAGAAACTCTATTCAAATACCATATTTACTGATACAAATAAAACAAAATAATTATTTTTTAGACGTGAAGTTAAAAAATACTGTCATGCCAAACCTCTATCATTTAATTTTAATTTGTTTTGCAGATATAGTTAGAAAAATAACTTAGAAAAAGAAGCCTATGCCAAATTTACTGGAAAAATTCAGTGATGAGCTAAAAGTGATCCTGAATTACCCAGCACTTCAGTCCTATACAGAAAGCTATGTGTGTCACAGACTGCGGTATTATTTTTGGTAGTAAAGCTTAGCAAGCAGATAGGGTTATTATTACAGAATACAAAATCAAAGCCAAGACCGTTAATTAAAAAAAAATACATTTTGGCAAAAATGTGTAAATCTTTCCAAGCATTATTAATCAAATTATTAAATAGTACTAATGCTATTTATTGTATCAGCAAGGAAGATATTTACAATGATTACAAAAATTCTAATGAAAAAGACCTATTAGTCAGTCATCCTCCCTAGCACTTGCTTTAGAAAGTACAAATATGTAATATAGTCCAGGTGTAGTGGCTTATGCCTATCTTCCCAGCACTTTGGGTGGCCAATGTTGGAGGATCACTTGAGGTCATGAGTTAGAGACCAGCCTAGGAAACAAAGTGAGACTCTATCTCTGCAAAAAAATTTTAAAAATTAGCCAAGTGTGATGGCAAACACCTGTAATCCTAGATACTCAGGAGCCTGAGGCAGGAGAATTGCTTGAGCTCAGTAGTTCGAGGCTGCAGTAAGTCATAATGGCATGCCACTGCACTCCAGCCTGGGTGACAAAGCAAGACTTTGTCCTAAAAATTTATAATAATAATAATACAGGCTATTTTAAATGGCATTGAAACAGACACACACACACACACACACACACACACACGTTGTAAGGTTAAGTTTGATTTTAATATTTCATTATTGGGAATAAAAAAATTTTAAAACATGTATTAATTTACCCAGGAAATGTATTAATTTTATATAACACAGTCATCATTCAATTACAAATATATAAATCAGTAGAGAAACCAAGATTGCAGGTGATACACACACACACACACACACACACACGTGTGTGTGTGTATATAAAGAATCTTTGAAGCCTCGATTGAGTTACATTTTTGTGTACGTAATTGGAAATTTTTCTTACATATTAAGCAGACCACCAATGACATCTTTTGAAACTAAGTTCAACATCGTCAAATATTTATGAACACTCCCTATATGCAAAGCACTATACTAGCTACTGGAGATAAAAAGAGTCATAAGGCCTATACCTAATATTTTTATGCCTTGAGAGGAGACCATAATTTAGACCTTTCATAGCACTTACACTGATTTCCTTGTATTTACTTCAAATTAATAAAGGTTTCTCCATGGAGTATATAACACTAAAATACTTAGATTTAGCTGCAAGTCATAAAATTATTTGCTTAAGCAAAATTTTTTTTAGATTTCCATATTTCTGTTGAACCTGAATTTTGAACAGTTGAACTGTTTTATTGGAAAGAAAAGAGACACTTCATTGTATTTCTTAACCTGAAATTTTCAAAGACAACCTATAATGATGTAGTATCAAAGAAGTGGACAAAATTCTACACCTCTAGCCATAATTTTAGAAATGGCTATTAGAACTAGTTTTTTTACTCCTATTAATAATTGAGAAACTATAAATGAACTATATTTCAAAGTTAGCATGGATTGAGATATATTAAGACTGGAATGAGTGCACTCGAAAAATATAAGTGTTGGTTTCAATAAACAAGACTTTCTTGAAAGCCTATGGATAATGTATCCTTTCATATATGACATTCTAAGCTTAGTAAATTTTCTAGTGCTATAGAAATAGAATAGTTTTATCTACAGGAAGCATTCATTTAAACAATAAAACCATATTACAAAGTTAAAAATAAATGTAATTTTCACAATACTTTCACTATACCCACTAACATTTATATCCAACTTACTACAGCAAAAGAGCTCATTCATGAATAAGTAATATGACTGCACATCCTATTTACATACTGTCAATCCTCAGATTCCTGAAGATAAGAATTAGATTACTCAATACATAACAACATAGCAGCACCTCTTTCCATTGCAAGCTTTGTATAAGCTTCATTTTAATTAAGGGATAATAGCTATGACATTAATTTCACTTAGTTTCTTTATTATGTAGCTAAGATCAGAGAAAACAATGTCATAGACAGCAGTATTATTTTTGGTAGTAAAGCTTTGCAAACAGTGATTATACAGAATACAAAATTGAAGCCAAGACCGTTAACAAAACAATTTTATTAGACTGGGTGCTGTGGCTCATGCCTGTATTCCCAGAACTTTAGGAGGCTGAAGCGGGTGGATCATCTGACGTCAGAAGTTTGAGACCAGTCTGGCCAACATGGTGATACCCTGTCTCTACTAAAAATACAAAGTTAGCTGGGCTTGGTGGTGCGCACCTGTAATCCCAACTACTCAGGAGGCTGAAGCAGAAGAATCGCTTGAACCTGGGAGGCAGAGGTTGTAGTGAGCCGAGATGGTGCCATTGCACTCCAGCCTGGGCAAAAAGAGTGAAACTCCATCTCAAAAAAAATAAATAAATAAAATAAAAACAATTTTATTTTTTTCTCCAAGAAGAAGGTGCTGAACTTTCCATTTACAAGCCAACTAGAGCCACAAGATGATGCACTTCTTGAAGTACAGGCCTGCCTTTTTTTCATTGTGCTTCATTTTATTGTCCTTCACTGATACTGTGTTTTTTTAGAAACTGAAGGTCTGTGGCAACTCCGCATCCAATAAGTTTATCAGTGCCCGTTTTCCAAAAGCATGTGCTCACTTTATGTCTTTGCATCACATTATGATAATGATTGTGTGAATCCAAAATATCCGAGAGAGATTTCAATCAATTTAGAATGTTTATTTTACTAAGGTTAAGGACGCACCCATAACACAGCCTCAGGAGGTCTTGAAGACATGTGCCCAAGGTGGTCAGGGTACAGCTTGCTTTTATACATTTTAGGGACACATGAGACATTAATCAATACATGTAAGATTTACATTGGCTCTACCTGAAAGGCTGGGTCAACTCAAAGGAGAGGGGGATCCTAGGTCATAGTAGATTTAAAAATTTTCTGATTGGCTATTGGTTGAAAGAGTTATCAGTAGAAAGGAATGTCTGGGTTAAGATAAGGAGTTATGGAGACCAAGGTTTTATCATGCCTTGATAAAGTCTCTGGGTAGCATGATGAAGCCTCTGGGTATCAGGCTTCGGAAAGAATAGATTGTAAATGTTTCTTATCAGACTTAAGCTCTGTGTTGATGTTAATTCTGGAGGTGCAAAATGAGGCATGTCCAACCCCACTTCCCATCATGGCCTAAACCAGTCTTTCAGATTAAATTTAAGAATGCCCTGGCCAAGAAGGAAGTCCACTCAGGTGGTTGGGGAAGCCTTAGAATTTTATCTTTGATTTATACTTCCAGCATTTCCAATTTTTAATTATTATTATACCTGTTACTGTAAAGAACATGGCTGTGCTCCAGCCAAGAAGGCTTAGGGCAGCAGGCATAGGCTGAGGTAAACAACCTGGATGATGCAGTGGGTTTGTGGCACACACACACAGTCCCGGGACTTATATAACCATAGCCATGTAGACATAACATGGAGAAAGCTCACTTCCATAGCCATAGCATAGAGAAGCTGACCACTTGGCTCTCAGCTACTATTGTTTGTGTAATGTATAAAAGTAACACTGACCCTGTGAGGGGCTGCTGAATAAAGCCATGTCTCATCTACCTGCTGTCTCTTGAGTGTTCTTCCAGCTCCCTGCCCCACAACCTTCCATTCCCCTCAGCCCTCAGCTGGGGCTGGAACCAGAGTATGAGAGTTATGGTGACCTGTGATCACTGATATTTGATGTTGCTATTGTAATTGTTTTGGGGTGTCACAAACAACACCCATACAAGATGGTAAACTTAATAAATGCTGTGTGTTTTCTGATTGCTGCACCAACCAGCCCTTGTCCTATCTCTCTCTCTTTCTGTCTATGGTCATCCGTACTCCCTGGGACTTAATGATATTAAAATTAGGCCAGTTAGGAACCCTACAATATCCGGTAAGTGCTCAAGTGAAAGGAAGAGTCAGATGTCTCTAACTTTAAATCAAAAGCTAGACATAATTAAGCTTAATGAGGAAGGCATGCTGAAAGCCCAGATAAACCAAAATGTAGGCCCTTATGCCAAACCACCTCACCAAGCTGTGAATGCAAAGGAAAAGTTCTTGATAAAAATTAAAAATGTTACTCCAGTGAACACACAAATGATAAAATGTGTAAGAGCCTTATTGCTCATATGGAGAAAGTTTTAGCGATCTGGGTGGAAGATCAAACCAGCCACATCATTCCTTTAAGCCAAAGCCTAATCCAGAGCAAGACCCTAATTCTCTTTCAATTCTATGAAGGCTAAGAGATTTGGAGATGCTGCAGAATAAAAGTTTGAAGCTAGCAGAGGTTGATTCATGAGGTTTTAAATAAGAAACTATCTCTATAACATAACAACATAATGTGAAGCAGCAAATGGTAATGTAGAAGCTACAGCAAGTTACCCAGAAGATCCAGCTAACATAATTGATGAAGGAGGCCATATTAAACAACAAATTTTCAATGTCAATAAAACAGCCTTCTATTGGAAAGTCCTACTGCCATCTAGGACTTCTATAACTAGAAAGGAAAAGTCAATGGCTGGTTTTAAGGCTTCAAAAGAACAGGTTAACTATATTGTTAGGTAATAGTGTATCTGGTGGCTTTACGTTGAAGTCAATGCTCATTTAACATTCCAAAATCTTATGGCTATAAGAATTATGCTAAATCTACTCTGTCTTTGCTCTATAAATATATCAACCAAATCTGGATTACAGCACGTCTGTTTATGGCATAGTTTACTAAATTATTTTTGAGACAGAGTCTCACACTGTTGCCCAGGCTGGAGTGCAGTGGCGTGATCTCAGCTCACTGCAAGCTCCGCCTCCCAGGTTCACGCCATTCTCCTGCCTCAGCCTCCCAAGTAGCTGGGACTACAGGCACCCACCACCACACCTGGCTAATTTTTTATATTTTTAGTGGAGACAGGGTTTCACCGTGTTAGCCAGGATGGTCTCGATCTCCTGACCTCGTGATCCACCCACCTTGGCCTCTCAAAGTGCTGGGATTACAGGCATGAGCCACCGTGCCTGGCCCAGTTTATTGAATATTTTAAGCCTACTGTTGAGACCTACTGCCTGAAAAATAAAAACTCTTTGAAAACATTTCTGCTCATCAGTAATAAACATGGTTATTGAAAAGCTCTAATAAAGATGTGGAAGGAGATTAATGTTGTCTTTATTGCCTGCTAACACCATGTCCATTCTGAAGCCCATACATCAAGGAGTGATTTTGACTCTCCAAGGCTTATTATTTAAGAAATAAATTTTGTAAGGCTGTAGCTGCCATAGATAGTGATATATCTCAGTAACTTCGGGAAAGTAAATTGAAAACTTTCTGAAAAGAACCATTATAGATGCCATAAAGAACATTCATGATTTATGGAGTAGGTCAAAATATTAAAATTGTCAAGGGTTCAGAGGAAGCTTGTTGCAACCCTCATAGGATGACTTTGAGGGGTTCAAGACTTCACTGGAGGAAGTCACTGCAGATGTGGTGAAAACAGCAAGAAAAGTGGAATTAGAAGTGGAGCCTGAAAATGTGACTGAATTGTTGCAATCTCATGATAAAACTTGAATAGGTGAAGAGTTTCTTCTTGTGTTTGAGCCAAAAAAAATGGTTTCTTGAAATGGAATATAATTTTGGTGAAGATGCTGTGAATATTGTTGAAATGCCAATAAGAGATTTAGAATATTAAACTTAGTTGATAAAGCAGTGGCAGGGTTTGAGAGGATTGACTCCAATTTTGAGAAAAGTTCAACTAGACAGTATCAAATAGCAATGCAATCCAACAGCATTTCATGCTGCAGAGAAATGTTTTTGTGTGTCAATGAATGCTGCAAACTTAATTGTTCTTATTTTTAAAAATTGCTGCAGCCACCCCAAACTTCAGCAGCCACTACTCTGATCAGTCAGCAGCCATCAACATCAAGGCAAGATTCCAGCAAAAAGATTATGACTCATTGAAGGCTCAGATCATTGTTAGCATTTTCTGGCAATAAAGTATTTTTAATTAAAGTATGTATTTTTTTTAGACAAAATGCTATTTAACATTTAATAGACTGCAGTATACTCTAAACATAACTTTTGTATGCACTGCAAAACCAAACAAATTGTGTGAGTTGCTTTATTGCAATCTTCACTTTATTGAGGTGGTCTGGAACCAAACCAATAATACCTCCAAGGTATGCCTATATATATTTCTCACTCTATCTTGTTTGCCACAGTTCCAAGAAGTGAAAGTCCTGTAAATAAAAGCAAGCATGCAAGTACGCAGTTTGCTGTAGAAAGTCAATTGAGGTACCATGAAGTACATCAAGCGTCTCTCATTTGCTTTAAGTTGACCACAGGTCTTCAGTTTTTAATGTTCAAATATGTGTACATAAAATATCCACATTCTTCTCCAAGAAATATAGAATGGCTAGAATATAAATGCATTATCACTCTTCCTCTGAAAGACTTTCACATTTTTATAATGTGACTGCTGAAAATGGAAGTTTTGTACTTGCATTTCTCCTTAGTTAAAAATCAACTGAAAAAATATGAAACATATATATGATAAGGCACCTACTAAGAATATACCTTGATATTTCAAAATAAAAGCTAAAAGGAAATACATGTAATAGAAAACATCAAGCTTATGAATATATTCATTCTTGTGTGGTCCTGATATGTTTGTTGAAGTTGGTATATTTTTAAGTAAATATCTAAATTGTCACCCCCAAAGCATAATATTCCTATAATACATGAAGAGTTATCACATTTTAGTTGCAAAAGAAACTACTTTTTTGGTAATGGAATATCTTTACTTAACTACAAATTTTATTTTATAAATACATATAAGATGAATATGGTTTAAAAAGCCATATCATAGATTCCCTATAAATTCTGGATTTTAGACCTCTGTCACATGAACAGTTTGCAAATATCTTTTCTCCTTCCGTAAGTTGTCTTTTTACTCTGTTGATAGTTTATTTTACTGTGCAGAAGCTCTTCAGTTTAATTAGGTCCCACTTGTCAATTTTTGCTTTCATTGCAATTGCTTTTGGGGACTTAGCTAAAAATCCTTTATCAAGGCTAGTGTCAAGAAGAGTATTTTCTTGATTGTCTTCTAGGATTTTTATAGTTCTCAAATTTGAAAAGTCTTAAATTTAAATCTTTCATCTGTTTGGGGTTAATTTTTAGATATTGTGTCCAGAATTGGTGGGTTCTTGGTCTCACTGACTTTAAGAATGAAGCCGCAGACCTTCGTGGTGAGTGTTACAGCTCTTAAGGTGGCACGTCAGGAGTTTATTCCTTCTGATGTGTTCAGAGTTTCTTCTCTCTGATGGGTTCGTGGTCTCGCTGGCTCAGGAGTGAAGTTGCAGACCTTCGCCGTGAGTGTTACAGCTCTTAAGACAGCGCGTCTGGAATTGTTTGTTCCTCCTGGTGGGCTTGTGGTCTCGCTGGCTTTAGGAGTGAAGCTGCAGACTTTCGCGGTGAGTGTTACAGCTCATAAAAGCAGTGTGGACCCGAAGAGTGAGCAGTAGCAAGATTTATTGCAAAGAGTGAAAGAACAAAGCTTCCACAGTGTGGAAGGAGGACCTAAGCAGGTTGCCGCTGCTGGCTCGGGCAGCCTGCTTTTATTCTCTTATCTGGCCCCACCCACATCTTGCTGATTGGTAGAGACGAGTGGCCTGTTTTGACAGGGCGCTGATTGGTGCGTTTACAATCCCTGAGCTAGATACAAAGGTTCTCCACCTCCTCATCAGATTAGTTAGATACAGAGTTTCCACACACAGGTTCTCCAAGGCTCCACCAGAGCAGCCAGATACAGAGTGTCGATTGGTGCATTCACAAACCTTGAGCTAAACACAGGGTGCTGACTGGTGTGTTTACAATCCCTGAGCTAGACATAAAGGTTCTCCAAGGCCCTACCAGAGCAGCTAGATACAGAGTGTCGATTGGTGCACTCACAAACCTTGAGCTAAACACAGGGTGCTGATTGGTGTGTTTACAAACCTTGAGCTAGATACAGAGTGCCGATTGGTGTATTCACAATCCCTGAGCTAGACATAAAGACTCTCCACGTCCTCACCAGACTCAGGAGCCCAGCTGGCTTCACGTAGTGGATCTCGCACCGGGGCTGCAGGTGGAGCTGCCTGCCAGTCCCGCGCCATGCGCTCGCACTCTTCAGCCCTTAGGTGGTCGAGGGGACTGGGCACCCTGGAGCAGGGGGTGGTGCTCGTCGGGGAGGCTCTGGCCACACAGGAGCCTATGGAGTGGGTGGGAGGCTCAGGCATGGCAGGCTGCAGGTCCTGAGCCCTGCCCTGCGGGAAGGCCGCTAAGGCTCCGTGAGAAATCGAGCGCGGTGCCGGTGGGCTGGCACTGCTGGGGGACCTAGTACACCTTCCGCAGCCGCTGGCCCGGGTGCTAAGTCCTTTATTGCCTGGGGCCAGCAGGGCTGGCGGGCTGCTCCGAGTGCGGGGTCACCAAGCCCACGCCTACCGGGAACTCCAGCTGGCCCGCAAGCGCGGCACGCAGCCCCGGTTCCCGCTCGCGCCTCTCCCTCCACACCTCCTTGCAAGCTGAAGGAGTAGGCTCCAGCCTTGGCCAGCCTGGAAAGGGGCTGCCACAGTACAGTAGTAGGCTGAAAGGCTCCTCAAATGCCGCCAAAGTGGGAGCCCAGACAGAGGAGGTGCCGAGAGCAAACAAAGGCTCTGAGGACTGCCAACACGCTGTCACCTCTCAATATGGTTAACAGTAGGCATTCAGCTTCAATCTTCTGCATATAGCTTGTCAGGTATCCAAGCACAATTTATTGAATAGTGGGTCCTTTCACCATTGCTTATTTTTGTTGACTGTTAAAAATCAGTTGGTTGTAGGTGTGTGGCTTGACTTCTGGGCTCTTTATTCTGTTACATTGGTCTATGTATCTGTTTTTTTACTAGTGCCTTACTCTTTTGATTACTGTAACCGCATAGTATAGTTTCAAGCTTGACGATGTAATGGCTATGGCTTTGCTCTTTCTGCTTAGGATTGCTTTGGCTATCAGGGCTCTTTTATTAGTTCCATAAGAATTGTAAAATGTGTCTTTTAATTCTATAAAAAATAATGAAGAAAATGTCAGTAGTTTGATAGCAATAGCATTGTGTTAGTCTGCTCTTGTGTTGGTATAAAGAAATACCAAAGCCTGGGTGATTTGTAAAGAAAATCAGTTTATTTTACATGACGTTTCTGCACTGTACAAGAAGTATGGTCCTGGCTTGTTTCTGGTGAGGTTTCAGGAAGCTTACAACTATAGCAGAAGGCAAAGGGGGAGCTGGTATATCACATGGAAAGAGAGGGAGAAAGGGAGAGAGGTGGAGGTGCTATTCTCTTTTAAACAATCACATCTTGCATGAACTGATAGGATGAGAACTCCCTTGTACCTCAAAGACAGAACCAGGCCATTTATGAGGGATCCTCCTCCATGACCCAAGCACCTCCCACTAGGTTCCACCTCCAACATTGGGAATCACATTTCAACATGAGATTTGAAAAAGACAAAACATCAAAATCATATCAAGCATTGAATCTGTACATTTATTTGGGCAGTGTGACCATTATATTGACTCTTCCAATCTGTGAGCACAGAATGTATTCTCATTTGTTTGTGTCATCTGTGATTTATTTCAGCAGTGTTTTGTAGTTCTTTTTGTAGAGATCTTTCACCTCCTAGGTTAAATATATTCCTAGGTATTTTATTTTTCTGTGACTAATGTAAATGAGATTATGCTCTTTCTTTGGCTCTTAGCTTGAACATTACTGGAACATATAAATGCTATTGATTTTTCTACATTGACTTTGTATCCTGAAACTTAACTGAAGTTGTTAATCAGTTCTGGGAGCCTTTTGGCAGAGTCTTTAGGGGTCTCTAGGTATAGAAAAGTATCATCAGTGAGGAGGGATAATTGGCTTTCTTTTTTCCAATTTGGATGCCTTATTTTTTTTCTCTTGCCTGATTTCTCTGGCTAGGACTTCCAAAACTACCTTGAATAGGAGTGGTGAGAGTGGGCATCTGTGTTTTTTCCAGCTCTCAAGTGGAATGATTCCAGGTTTTGCCCATTCAGAATGATGTCAGCTGTTGGTTTTTCATAGATGGCTCTGATTTTTTTTAAGATATGTTCCTTCAATGCCTTGTTTGTTGAGGGTTTTTATCATGAAGGGATGTTGGATTTTATTGAAAGCTTTTATTACATATATTGAAATTATTATATGGTTTTGGTGTTTCCTTCTGTTTACGTGGTGAATTGCATTTATTGATTTGTGCATATTGACACAAGCTTGCATCCCAAGAATGAAGCCTTCTTGATCCTGGTGAATTTACTTTTTGATGTGCTGCTGGATTCAATTTACTATTATGGTGTTGAGGATTTTTGTGTCTATGTTCATCAGAAATATTGGCCTGTAGTTTTCTTTTTCCTTATTTCTTTGCCAGATTTTGGTATCAGGATGATGTTATCTTCAAAGAATGAATTAGGGAGGACTTCTTCCTCCTCTATTTTTTTGGAATAGTTTCAATAGGATTGGTAGTAACTCTTTTTTGTATATATGGTAAAATTTGGCTGTAAATCCATTTAGTCCAGGGATTTTTTTGGGCTTGTAGGATTTTTACTATTGTTTCAACATTGGAATTCAATACTGGCCTCTTCAGGGTTTCAGTTTCTTCTTGATTTAATCTAGAGATGGAATGTTCCAGGAATTTATCTATTTCCTCTAGATTTTCTAATTTGTGTACATAGAGATGTTCATATTACTCTCCAAGAATCTTTTGCATTTCTGTGGGATCATTTGCGATATCACCTTTGTCATTTCTGAATGTGCTTATTTGGAACTTCTCTCTTTTTTTCTTTGTTAATCTAACTAACAGACTATAGATCATTTTTATCCTTTCAAAGGTCCAACTTCTGGTTTTGTTGATCCTTTGTATGAATATTTGGGTGTCAATTTCATTCAATCCTGCCCTGTTTTTAATTTTTTTTCTTCTGCTAGCCATGTGGTTAGTTTGTTCCTGTTTTTAAGTCCCTCTGGGTGCAATGTTATGTTGTTAATTTGAGATCATTCTAACTTGATGTAGGGATTAAGCCCTCTGAATTTTCCTCTTAACACTGCATTTGCTGCATCCAAGAAATTTTGGTATTTCATGTCTCTGTTTTCACTTATTTCAAAGATTTTTTTTATTTCTGTATTAATTTTGTTGTTTACACAAAAGTAATTCAGAAGCAAGTTGTTTAGTTTCCATGTTGTGTGGTTTTCAGAGAACTTCTTGGTATTGATTTCTATTTTTACCCCAATGTGTTCCAAGAGTATAATTGGTATAATTTCATTTTTTTGAATTTACTGAGACTTACTTGCTTTATGGCAAAGAATGTTGGAAATCTTACAATATGTTCCATGTGCACATGAGAAGCATGCATATTCTGTATTTGATGGGTGAAGAATTCTGTAGATGTATATTATGTCCAATTAGTCAAGGGTCAAATTTAAGTCCAGAATTTCGTTGTTAGCTTTCTGCTTTGATCATCTGTCTAGTGTTGTCAGTGAGGAGTCCCCAATATTATTGTGTGGCTGTCTTTTTGTAGGTCTAGAAATACCTGTTTTATTAATCTGGATGCTTCAGTGTTGGGTGCTTATATGTTTAGGATAGTTTATCTTCATGTTGAAATGAATTCATTATCATTATGTAATGTCCTTCTTTGTCCTTTTTTACTGTCGTTGGTTTAAGGTCTGTTTTATTTGATGTAATAATGATGACTCACCCTTTTTTTGTTTTCCATTCACATGATATATCCTCCTCCAACCCTGTCTTTGAACCAGTTAGTATCATTACAAGTGAGAGGGGTGTCTTGAAGATAAAAGATGGATGGGTCTTTTTTAAAATCCAATTTGCCACTCTGAAACTTTTAATTGGGAAGTGTAGACAATTGACATTCAAAGTTAATATTGATATGTGTGGTTTTCATCCTATCATGAAGCTGTCAGTTTGTTGCCTTGTAGTCTCCATTGTGTAGTTGTTTTATTGGGTCTGTGAGCTATGTACTTAAGTGTGTGTTTTTGATATCAGGTATCATTCTCTTCCATGTTTAGCACTCCATTATTTCTTGTAAGGCTAGTCTGCTGGTAACAAATTACCTTAGCAATTGCTTCTCAGGAAAATATTTTATTTCTTCTTTGCTTATGAAGCTTAGTTTGGCAAGGTATGAAATTCTTGGTCAGAATTTCTTTTTTTTAAGAATGCTGAGAATAGGCTCCCATCTCTTCTGGCTTATAAAGTTTCTTCTGAGAATCTACTAGCAGCCTGATGAGGTTCCCTTTGTAAGTGATCTGATCATTTTCTCAAGGTGTCTTTAAGATTTTTTTCTTTGGGGTTAAACTTGGATAGTCTGGTGACTTATGCCTTGGTGACGTTTATTTTGGGTAGTATCTTGCATGTGTTCTCTTTATTTCTTGTATCTGAATGTCTACCTCTCTAGGAAGATTAGGAAAATTTTCTTGACTTATTTCCTCAAATACGTTTTATAGGTTGTTTACTTTTTCTTCTTTCCTCTCAGGAATGCCAATAATTTATAGGTTTGGTTACTTTGCATAACCTTATATTCCTCAAAGCTTTCATTTTTATTTTTAGTTTTTATTTCTGACTGGAAATACTTAGTTTGAAAGACTTGTCTTCAACCTCTGAAATTCTTTATTCTGCTTGGTCATATCTCTCAATAAAGCTTTCGATTGTATTTTGAAATTCCTTGAGTGAATTTTTCTATTTCAGAAGCTCTGATTACTTTTTAAGATGCTAATCTCTTTCATCATTTTCTGCATTGCTTTATTACTTTCTTTGTTTGATTTTCAACCTTGATCTGAATCTTATTGAGCTTTCTTGAAATCCATGATTTGAATTCTTTATCATTTGTGAGTTTCCATTTTGGTTAGGGATCATTGCTACAGAACTAGTGCAATCCTTTGGTGGTGTCACAACATTTAGGTTTTTATGATGCCAGAATGATTAAGCTGATTCTTTCTCACCTGGAAATGCTGACACTTCTAATTTTTGTAATTATTTTCATATGGAAAGGATTTTTATTCCTTTCCCTACATAATTTTTCCTTTAGCCTCCCCCAAAACATGGGTGTGTCTGTATAATATGTTAAGTGTGACTGTATAATATGTTAAGTAGGCTCATTTGGCTATGCTTCCATAACCCTATGCACTTGTGTTGGCGGGCTTTATATTGGGTTGTGCAGTTCAACCTATAGGGCCAGTAGATGGTGATTATGGGTAAGAGCCACCTGCAACATAAGCAGATCAGTAAATACCTAATCTTTGTTTACTCCGAGGTGCTCTCTATTATTTCAGGTGATGGGCTAGACAATGGGGTGCCCAGTGCCCTGAGTTTCCTGTTTTGCAGGGGTTGGGACACATATCTCGGAAGAGCTGAAGCCCCTGTCTTGCCCATGAATACCCTTATTGTATGCACAGGCACCAGCCCTGACCCGGGGGGCTGGGTGGAGCTCCTGGTGAAATGTGCTGAGGTCTCTGCAGGAGGGTGAGGGGGTTTCACTGGCTCCCCATCCTAGATAGACAGAAACATGGGCTATTTCCCTATCCCATTCCTGTTCTGAGGTTCATGACTTCTAGATCAGATGCACACTGTAGTCTATCTTTGGACCACAGTGTGATTGAAAGCCTTGGGAAAGGCTTGTTTTGTCACTCTCAAGGGAGTGGTGTTGGGGCAGAATTTTGTCACTCGGCCTGATACAGATAGCATTATGCCCCATCTGTTCTCTGATATCTTAGCTCTGGTGCTTCATGTAAGAGGGAGGGCTCCAACTTTGGGCTTTTGCAAGTGGGTGTTGGTTGTGGTGGTATCTGCGGGTTGGGTCAGCCTGACCTCAGGCCCTGGGGGAAGTGGAGAAGTGACAGCAGAGTTGGAATGGGGTAGGTACTTCCCCAGTTCCTAGGTCCCTAGATGGCACCCTTGCCACTGTTTACAAATCCTGAAGAGGCTGAACCAGGGTCAGAATTGCCCAGTGTTCAGGTGCTGGGTGTGATGGGGAAGGGTGGGCTGGTCCCCAGGTCACTGGTGAAACTCTCAGGCAGGTACAGGCATGAGGCTTGTATGGTAGGAGCCTGAGGAAGTATCACAGCTGTGTGGGGGTAGGGTTTCCAGAAGGGCTCTAGGGTGCAGCTGAAATGCTCAGGCACGGGCAGGTGAGTGCACCGTGTGCCAGAAGGCATCAGGAAGCAGTGGAAGTGAGGTGTGGGACTGGTGTAGAGCCAGGCGAAGCTCCTTAATTTGGGGAAAGGGCTGCCTGGCTTTGCTCCTTTCTTTTTTTTCCATGGGTCCTATTGCTTCTGTGAAAGCAAAATATCTTGGGCCTCCCAAATTACTAAGCTAAAAGGAAAATTCAAGCTAGAAACTGCGCAGGGCAAACCTGTCTCCCACTCTATTCAAAGTCATCCCTCTGCTCACTGAGATAGATGCATATTCTGATTGCCTCCTTTGGAAAGGCTTATTAGAAACTCAAAAGAATGCAACCATTTTCTCTCACCCACCTGTGACCTGGAAGCCCCTCCTTGTTTTGAGTTTGTCCTTGCCTTTCTGGGTGGAACTAATGTGCTTCTTACACATATTAGTTCATGTCTCATATACTAAACCTAAAATCTGTAAAACCAAGCTGTGCCCTGACCACCTTGGGCACATGTCAGGACTTCCTGTGGCTGTGTCGCGGGTATGCATCCTCAACCTTGGCAAAAGAAACTTTCTAAATTAACTGAGACCTGTCTCAGATTTTCTGGGTTTACTCTTCCTTGGTGAATCCCAACAGGATCTCTTAGATGATCCACTTGAAGAGCAGGTATTTACTCACCACGTTGTTTCCTCTCTGTGAGAGTCACACACGCTAGCAGCTTCTAGTCAATTATCTTGAACTGGAACTGCTCTATACTTATACGTTGTTAATAGGTATAGAAAAATTTCTATTTAAAATGTGCACCATGAGTTTCACTACTACCATGACAGTATGAGGAGTACTGCAAACTCACTCTACAGAAAACTGGTAAAAATTATTCTTTTTAAAAAATAAAACATTTAAGGTCTCCAGAATTAATCTTAAAGGTATACGGGAAAGGAAGAAACATTTATTTGAGAATATCTACTAAAACAGTAAGAACAGATAAAATCTGTGGTATTTGAGCTATTAGGTTGGCTCAAAAGTAACTGCGGTTTTTGCTGTTACTTTCAATGGCAAAAACCTCAATTACTTTTGTGCCTATCTAATACATCTGTTAAAGTATGTAGTCAGACAAGAATAGGGTAGGAAAGAGCCCCACCCTGCCCCTTACTCCTCCACTCCCCAACCCAAGAATGTTGGGCATTTGTCAAGCCATGGTCAGGCAATTATAAATGTCCCTTTGAAATGATGAGCAGGACAAGGGAGGAACTCCAGAACTGTCTGGTTTCCATTGAGTGAAAAAGAGGTAGGCATAAAACTGTTCCTCTGAGATAATAAGTGGCCATGACTGGTGCCGGGAATGACAGGATTCTTGCAACAGACAGAAGACACCTGGAGTTAGCAAGTCATAATTCCTGATGAAGATTCAAGCATGAGGGCAATACCATTCAGGATATAGGCATGGGCAAGGACTTCATGTCTAAAACACCAAAAGCAATGGCAACAAAAGCCAAAATTGACAAATGGGATCCAATTAAACTAAAGAGCTTCTGCACAGCAAAAGAAACTACCATCAGAGTGAACAGGCAACCTACAGAATGGGAGAAATTTTTTTCAATCTACTCATCTGACAAAGGGCTAATATCCAGAATCTACAAAGAACTCAAACAAATTTACAAGAAAAAAACAACCCCATCAACAAGTGGGTGAAGGATATGAACAGACACTTCTCAAAAGAAGACATTTATGCAGCCAAAAGACACATGAAAAAATGCTCATCATCACTGATCATTAGAGAAATGCAAATCAAAACCACAATGAGATACCATCTCACACCAGTTAGAATGGCGATCATTAAAAAGTCAGGAAACAACAGGTGCTGGAGAGTATGTGGAGAAATAGGAACACTTTTACACTGTTGGTGGGACTGTAAACTGGTTCAACCATTGTGGAAGACAGTGTGGCGATTCCTCAGGGATCTAGAACTAGAAATACCATTTGACCCACCCATCCCATTACTGGGTATATACCCAAAGGATTATAAATCATGCTGCTATAAAGACACATGCACACGTATGTTTATTGCGGCACTATTCACAATAGCAAAGACTTGGAACCAACCCAAATGTCCAACAGTGATAGACTGGATTAAGAAAATGTGGCACATATACACCATGGAATACTATGCAGCCATAAAAAAGGATGAATTCATGTCCTTTGTAGGTACATGGATGAAGCTGGAAACCATCATTCTCAGCAAACTATCGCAAGGCCAAAAAACCAAGCACCACATTTTCTCACTCATAGGTGGGAATTGAACAATGAGAACATATGGACACAGGAAGGGGAACATTACACACCGGGGACTGTTGTGGGGTGGGGGGAGGGGGGAGGGATAGCATTAGGAGATATACTTAATGTAAATGACGAGTTAATGGGTGCAGCACACCAACATGGCACATGTATACATATGTAACAAACCTGCACGTTGTGCACATGTACCCTAGAACTTAAAGTATAATTAAAAAAAAAAGCAAGATGATGGGATTTGACCAGTACATCACCTTCCTCTGGGGACATTGGACCAGTAAGGGAGAATTGACCCAAATGAGCATGTGTATGAGTTCCATAAACACACTGTGCATGCGGCCCCTCCCAAGTGCTGTCAGGGACACTGCACATGCAGTAATTAAGTGACAACTCACCCAGGGGGAAGAACAGGGAAGAGACAGAGCCCAGGAAAAGATAGGGGGTATAAAAACTCTAAACAAAGAGGTGGATGAGGCATTTGATTTTTTTTTACAAGTTTCGTGCTTGTCCCTCATGTAAGTACTCTGGTTTCTCAAGTAAACCCTCATTTTGCTTAAAATGAATTCTCCCTTCTACTTTAAACCTTGTCTGTGTCTGCTGAGACCAGCTCAGTCATGGAGACCCTAACCCAGCGGCACTAGAGGAATTAAAGACACACACGAATTAAAGACACACACACAGCAATATAGAGTGTGGAGTGGGAAATCAGGGGACTCACAGCCTTCAGAGCTGACAGCCCCGAACAGAGATTTACCCACGTATTTATTGACAGCAAGCCAGTGATAAGCATTATTTCTATAGATGATAGATTAACTAAAAGTATTGCTTACGGGAAACAAAGGGATGGGCTGAAACAAAGGGATGGGCTTTGGCTAGTTATCTGGAACAGGAACATGTCCTTAAGGCACAGATCGCTGGTGCTATTGTTTGTGGTTTAAGAATGCCTTTAAGCGGTTTTCTGCCCTGGGTGGGCCAGGTGTTCCTTGCCATCATTCCGGTAAACCCACAACCTTCAGCGTGGGCATCGTGGCCATCACAAACATGTCACAGTGCTGCAGAGATTTTGTTTGTGGCCAGTTTTGGGGCCAGTTTATGGCCAGATTTGGGAGCCTATCTCCAGCATGTGTGTTTCCTTTGAATTCTTTCCTTGGAAAAGAAAAAGGACAGAGATAGCTGCACACTCACCTGCGGGTAACATACTGTTGTTACATACTGGGATATGCTATCTAGTGGTAAGATGCTGCAATGCCTCACCTTCTTTGGCTAGAAGCATTCAAACTCTTGTAGGTGGTCTCTCCTCCTTTCTCTTTTTTCCTTTTTGTCTCCCACTCATTTCTTTTCCTTCCTTTCCCCTTTTTCCTCCTTCTACTTGTTTCTTTTTTTTTCACTTCACTTTTTCTTTCTCCTGCTTACTAACTCTTCTGCAGGACAATTCCCCTTAGCTACAGTGGCTCTGCTCCCTCCAGCTGATTTCTCAGCTCATCTTGGAGGTGATTCCCAGAGGTGGGTGGACTTTAGGGTCCAGACCCTGCAGACCTCAACTACTG
Source organism: Homo sapiens (assembly GCF_000001405.40). Lineage (NCBI taxonomy): Eukaryota > Metazoa > Chordata > Mammalia > Primates > Hominidae > Homo > Homo sapiens. The sequence continues at coordinate 3,632,975 of NC_000024.10, forward strand.
TGCCTCTCCTGACAGGAGGCTTGCAAGGGTAGCAGGTTTAAGCCTGGGCTGTGCAATGTCTGGGGTACTTCCCTTTTCTCCTTCAACTAAAATCAAGTCTTTCCCGAAACCCACACCTGGGTCATCTATTCTCTCGTGCCCTTTTATGTGTCCTCTGAAATGACCACGCACACTAACTGCACTATTTGCCTCAGGGGCAAGTCAGCCTCTTTTCCACTCTCACTTTGTGTGCCATGCGAGTTATTTTCCTACTTCAAACCTACACTCCTTGTTTGCCATTTGTGTGCTTGTGGCCTTTGCTGTGTCTTCCTGGCAGCCAAGAGGCAGACACCTTTACTGGTGTCCCTTGATATCTACACTTGCTTTTACCCCTCCAGTCTGGATGATCTCCAGCCTATCCCCTGCCTCTTGGCTCACTGTCAAAATAAGCACTTCTCAGAGCCCTGGCTCTATCAACTACTGATTACTTACTATCTTTACTTACCATTCTTTATCCCCAGCAAGCTCCAGGAATTAGTATTCTGCTGGTCCTTAAAGAGGTTTATCCACTTTGACATAGCCTCCAATTGTGGTCCTTTAAGGACACCCCCTACCTCAATTCTGGGGGTAGTTCCTTTTTGGGAAAAGAGAACATTTTTCCTGCACCTAGTAAGACTCTTTATTCCAAACTCCCTGGTTCTCCAGAGGTTTCTCCTTTTTATCAAAAATGCGAACAAGCACTGCCCACTAGGGACCAGAGGCTGCTGTTTCTGTGAAAGCACAAGGGCTTTCCATGAATATCCACCAGGCTTCCTTACCTATCCACCTGTTAGATAGTGATTGCCTTGATTGTTTAAACACTTCTTTTTCATGTTGCTAACAGAGGATGGAATTTTCCTACCTTCTTCTGAACCTCTCCATGTCATTCTCAAAATGCACAAAGATCTCCAAGCCTACATACAAAAAAAAAAAAAAAAAAAAAAGCCCAGCCTCTTTGGAGCTTGAAAGGGAATAGGACATCTACCTAAAAGGACCTGGGGAATGGAAGCATGAGAGGATGGGAAATCATCATTTAATTGCTAAGATGCTCCAGATGGGGGTCACTGCAAGGTCAGGGAGGCAGGGATATACGCCCACCCATGGCTGCAGGTGCAAGATACCAAAGTACCCATAGAAGAGAGGTGAAGGCTGGTCCCAGGCTACAGCACAGAACAGATTACCATTAAAACAGAGATGAAGAAAAGGTTTGTGGTACTCAGTAACACCAGTTTATTTTGGGGCCCAAAGGATAAATAGAGGGCCCTTGTTCATTCCCATATCCCCTCTGTTCTGTAGTGGGTAATTGTGCCTCCATAAGATGATATGGCACCAAGATTAAGGGTACCTGGTGAGATGGGTTTATTCAAGAACTTCAAATACAAATGGGGGATGCTGTGTTCAGGAAAAGATAATAAGGATATAAGAGGGGCCACCTACTTTTTCCTTTTTCTCCTCTATTCTCTCTTCACAGTTGGGTAATTGCATCTCCATACCACAGGACATACCCCTTGGATGCATCCTTAAGGAATTGAAAAATGTGATTCCCTAAAACCATATAATAACAAGGAAAAACTAGCTTTAATTTGTAATACAGTTTGGCCTAAAATAAACTGGAAAAAATTACAAAAGCCAGCCTAAAACCCCAGACCCCCTATGTAGGAAATCCTCAAGTTAGCCTCTGCAGCCTTTTATAACCAAGAGCAAAATAAGAAGGATAAGGCTAAAGAGAAGGAAAACTGCAGGGACAAGAGGCAGGCTCAACTATTGGCTACGGTACAAGCCCTCTAGCCCTCTCCAGGTTGCCCTCAGGACATTCTGACAGAAAACTGCCATCTGTGCAAAAAGCCAGGCCACTGGAAAGTAAAATGCCCCAATGGGCTAAATGGGAAAAATCCCCACAAGGTCTGCTTCCTCTACCACAAAGTTGACTACTGGAAAAAGGAATGTCTTGAGAGCCAAAAGGGATATTGGGCCAGATCCCAATCCAATAAGGGCCTTAAGCTGAAGGGGCCCTCTGCTCCAGCCAGCTCCCAAATCAGACACCATCATTTACAGGACAAAGCCAAGGGCAATTCTGGAGGTGGCAAATAAAATTATAAATTTCCAGGCTGGGCATGGTGGCTCAAGCCTGTAATCCCAGCACTTTGGGATGCCAAGGTAGGAGGATCATTTGAGGTCAGGAGTTCCAGACCAGCCTGGCTAATGTGATGAAACCCCGTCTCTATTAAAAATACAAAAAGTAGCCGGGCATGGTGGCATGCACCTGTAATTGCAGCTACTCAGGAGGCTAAGGCAAGAAAGTCGCTTGAACCGAGGAGGTGGAGGTTGCTGTGAGCCGAGATCGCACAATTGCACTCCAGCCTGGGCAACAGAGTGAGACTCTGTCTCAAAAAAAAAAAAAAATTATAAATTTCCCTTTTGGGTTCAAGAGCTGCCTACTTTGCTAATCTCCAGCTCTAAGAAACTCTCCTCCAAATCCTGTTGGGTAATATGAGCAAATGGCAGCTGCTACCTCCAAAAGAAAATATTCTCACCCCTTTATATTAGTTAAGGGACCAATTATTAATCTCTCACTATTCCCTTGTAATGCCTAAATGCCCCACACCCCTTTGGGCAAAAATATATGTCCATGATGGGTGCCTGATTAATATTCACCCAACCTCTAAATTTATCTTTCCCTCTAATATTGTTTTTCCTGGGAAAACTACATAAATCTTTAACCAATAACTTCAACCTGGACAGTCCTACTTCAGGAGTTTAAAAATAGCCCACATGTATTCAAACAAACCCTAGCAAGAAATCTAACCAAGTAATTGCTTGAGGGGGGATAACAGTGTGTAGATAACCTCCTTATCTGTTCCCTGTTCAAAGGACTTGATTGGCAACATGTAGTACAAACCATAACTTCCTAACAGAAGGAAAATGACTTTTGTCTAATTCAAACTTTATGAAAGTAAAGAGGTAGTTTTAATAAGGAAGGTTATAAAGAAAAGAGATTTTTGTATAAGAAAAGATCTTTCATGGTAAATTCTTGTCCTAAAGTAAAATAACTGGTTGTTTAAAAAAGAAAGATGTTTAGGACAGGTTATAAAGTCCATGCATGTCGTAGATGGTCTATGTAATTCATAAAAAATTTGTGAAAGGAAATTTATAAAAGGAATGTTGTATGTAATTAAGGCATAATAGTCTCTTTAAAATTGGTTTCCTATGTTAAAAAAAGGTTGTCTTAAAGTATTAATCTGCTCTTAATAAAATTACAAGATGTTTTAATTTTTATTTCATAAACCGTTTCTTTTAACGATTCCCCAGAATCATATATGGCCCGATGCTAAATTGTTTTACCTAAAAAAGCAATGTTTTTATCCAATATAACTGAATTCTGTACTCCTGACTTTTGTTAATATGTCTACATTTTCAACATAACCAAAAAACTTCTCATGCTATTCCTAAGAGTCATGTATTCTGCTGTACTAATACTTTGAACATACTCTTGCTGTATCTAATTAAATTCAAACACTTTTCACCAAATTTAACTTTCAGGTTATCTGATTGGGCTTTCCATAAGGAAAAACAGTCACACTGCAAAAGGTTTTTCTTTGCCTTTTCAGTAACTGACTTTTTAAAAACAAGATTTTATATTCACTATGTTGTCTTTATAAGGTTTTTGGTTGTGAGAAAAACTTTAATGCCTTTTAGTTCACATGACTTTAATAATCTTTGGTAAATGAAAACGATTTTAAAGGTTATTAGATCTACAAAATTCTTTAAAGTCATAAACTGATACAGTGACTCTTAATAACAGTACAACTTTCCTGCTTTAAAGCCATTAAATTCTAGGCAAGACCTGAGAACATATGCAATTAGCCATGCCCCCAGCTATGCTAAAAAGAAGTCAGATCTTTATTTTGTTTTGTCATCTCTACTTGTCTTAAAACCTGAGATGCATTCTATATTTGCAGCCAATAAGTTCACCAGGGCCTCCCCCCTAGCTAAACTGGAACTTCAACCATAGACTGTATATCCCCAGACATCTACATAGCCCATGACAATCTCTTCTAGTATCAATCTAGGGGCATTCCATCTTGCCCAAGGTGAAGAGAGCTTGCGAAAGTTAAAGGAGAATATTAAAATATAGAAAAACCTCCAAAAAGTAGAACCCTAAGGCTCTTTCCTAGTCCAGATCTTTAAAATATTTGCCAGTTGTATATGGCCATGGACAGCCTCAATCCTTCCTCCTATAGTTATGTTTATATTAATTTGCCATTTGACCCCATGCCTCCTTAACACCCTCACCCTTATCATTTCTTCTAAAATCCAGCAATTTCAGACCAAGCTTCTAATGCTACAGGGATATTCACCTCTATCCTTAGACAAGTACAAAAACATGCCTCTGTCTTCCCTGTATTTGGTTGGACACCACTTTTGCCAGCCTATGAATGGAGTCACACTTCCCTAACAGCTAGCAAGATGCTGAGACCCATGGGATGATCCCCACCACTCTGTCACCAAGAAGTAGTTATGGAAAACAATCATCCATTGCCCTAAACAATTGGGTCCCAGATGTTTGAGGGAGGCCCATGTAAGAGTAAGTAGTTAGGCATGAGCAGGACAGGACAGAAGCTCCCCACGTGAATGTTAGGCCTTTGTCAAGCCGTGGTCAGGCAATTATAAATCTGTCCCTCTGAAATGATGAGCAGGACAAGCGAGGAACCCCAGAGCTGTCTGGTTCTCATCAGCTTATTATGAGTTGTCTGACTCATAATAAGTAGCCATGACTGGCACTGGGAATGAGAGGAGTCTTGCAACAGATGGAGAACAACTGGAAATAGCTAGCCATAATTCCTGATAATGTTTCAAGCATGTGCAGTAAAAGAGAAAGGTGGTAGAATTTTATTACTACCTGACTCTCCTCTTGGGGCACTTAACCAGTAAGGAACAATTGTCCCTAATGAGCATGTACATGACTTCAGTAAGCACACCGTGCATATGGCCCCTCCCAAGTGCTGGCAGGCCATTGTCATGTGACAATTAAGCAACAGACCACCCAAAGAAAGAACACAGGGAGCAGACAGAGCATGGGAAAAGATAGGGGGTATAAAAACTCTAAACAAAGAAGCAAACAAGGTACTTGATTTTTTAAGTCAACCGCTTGTCCCTCATCTAAGTGCACTCTGCTTTCTCTAATAAACTCTTACTTTGCTTGAAGTAAATTATCCCTCCTGATTGAAACTTTGCCTGTGTCTCTCATCTGAATTATTTTCTTCAAGAAGAAAATGGACTGGGATTGCTGCAGAGTTGCCAATCCAGAGCTCCTCCAGATAGCTGCAGACCCACCTGCTAGTAACAGATTCATCAACTCCTTTCTACTTCCCAGCTCACCAAGAGGAAATCTCCATTTAAGTCTACTGCAGGCAAAAGCACAGTGATCTCTCTGCTAGAGGGCTGTCTTCCTGGGAGGAACAGGATGTTAGCTTTTCTCATCCTTACTCTAGATACCTGTTGTTGAGTCTACATTCTAGACAACTGCAGGAAAGTGGTGGGTGTTTTCACTTAGCCTAGATATGTGGGACAGGAATTGTACTTCAGGTGTGGGGCTGCAGAGAATACTAGGCCCCCAACTGCCTTATCCTTGGCTCATATAGTAGAGGTTCTATGTGGGGAGAATCAAGTCAAGATAAACTGAAGCTATCCCACTTCCTTGAATGAGCTTCACCTCTTAAACAGAGAGAAGCAAGCTATCATACCCAACTTCATTTCCAGATCTGTGACTCCAAAGTTTTTCCTGGGAAAGAAACAGGCTATAAAATAGGAAACTCTGGGTCACTTCCCCAAAAAAACAGACTTCATTTGCAGAAAGGTGTGGAGAATTTCAAGCCTAATGGTCTCAAAAACAATGGAGGTTATGGTAAAAAATAAGATTCACTGGGTATGTATGCTAAACAGTAAGGGGCTAGTTTTTCAGAAAGAAACAAGAAAAGAGATAGCTAAGGAGAGCCTTTCTGAATCAGAACAAATCTCAAAAACTGACCTTGAAAACCGTCTCTTAAAAGAAAAAAAAAACATGATTCATTTTTATCATCTATGAAGCAATTTATGTCCCAAAGCATTGATTAAAAAAAATAAAAGAATCAGCTGGCATTTTATGGAGTTTAATAGGTCAGTATGGTCAGTGAAAAACACAAAGAGAGGTCTTCCAATCCCATTGTCTTTTCAGGATGACTATGGGCATGTCCAAAGCAGGATCCTCTGAGGAGCATCATTGTAGCCTTCAGCTTATGTGGGGATGAAGAGAATTCATTAAAATAATCCTGCCAGTTACTAAACAGATTAACAAACCAATAAAGATAACACACTCTGGAGTGGGGACACTAAGACTCAGAGTTGCTAGAATATATTACCTCATATTTCCACTTCCTGAGAAATAAGTTATGAGGCATGTAAAGAAACAGAAATATATGATGCATGCACTGGAAAGAATGCAAGCAACAGAAACTGCCTATGAAAATGAGTGAATATCATATTTGACAGACTTCAATGTATACGTG